>NC_000003.12:117947998-118251028 GCF_000001405.40 Homo sapiens
ATTAACAGTTTTTGTGCATCTGGTAGGATTCAGGTTTGAATCCATCTGGTCCAGGGCTATTTTCGATTGGCAGATTCATTATTATTGATTCAATATCCAAAGTTGATACTGGTCTATTCAGGATTTCAATCTCTTCCTGATTCAATCTTGGGAGAATATGTGCTTCTAAGAATTTATCCATTTACTCTAGTTTTTCTAATTTGTGTGCATAGAGTTGATCATAGTATTTTCTGAGGATCTTTTGTATTTCTGTGGGATCAGCTGTAATATTACCTTTTTCATTTCTGATTGTGCTCATTTGGATCTTCTCTTTATTTTTCTTTGTTAATCTAGCTAGGGGTCTATCAATCTTATTTATGTTTTCAAAAAACCAACTCTTGGTTTCATTGATTTTTGTATGAATTTTCGAATGTCAATTTCATTAAGTTCCTCTCTAATTTTAGTTATTTCTTTTCTTTTGCTAGTTTTGGGGTTGATTTGTTCCTTTTTTCCTAGTTCCTTTAGGTGCAAAGTTAACTTGAGGGCTTTCTAATGTGTTGATGAAGGCATTTAAGGCTACAAACATTCCTCTTAACATTGCTTTGGCTGTATTCCAGAGATTTTGGCAAGATGTCTCCCATTTTCATTAACTGCAAAGATTTTTTTATTTCAAGGGTAAGTTTTTTAATTTCTATGTATTGGTGCAGTTTGGAGAGATCTTCTTGATATTGGTTTCTATTTTCATTGTCCTATGGTCTGAAAACATGCTACTATAATTTCAATTTTTTTTAATGTATTGAGGCTCGCTTTATGGCTGAGCATGTGGTCAATCTCAAAATATGTTCTGTGTGTAGATGAGAAGAATATTCTGTGGTTATTCAGCATAATGTTCTGTAGATTTCTATTTGGTCCATTTGGTCAAATGTCGAGTTTAGGTCTAGAGTTTCTTTGTTAGATTTTTCCCTCGATGATCTAACAGTCAATTGGGTATGAAGTCTCCCTCTACTATTGTGTAGTTGTCTTAGTCTTTTCACAGGCCAAAAAGAAGTTGTTTTATGAATCTGGGTGCTCCAATTTTGGTGCATATAAATTTAGAATAGTTAAGGCTTCTTGTTGGATTGTACCCTTTATCATTGTGTAATGGCCTTCATTGTCCTTCTTAATTTTTATTGGTTTAAGGTATGTTTTATCTGATATGAAAATAGCAACTCTTGCTCCCTCTTCCCCCCCATTTGCATGGTAGATCTTATTCCACCCTTTTAACTCTGACCCTATGGGTGTCGTTACCTACGAGATGGGTCTGTTGAAGACAACCTATGTTTGTGTCTTGTCTTTTTATCTAGCTGCCACTCTGTGTCTTTTAAGTGGGGTATTAAGTGCATTTACATTCAAGATTAGTATAAGATGTATGATTTTGATCTGTCATCATGTTGTTAGCTGGCTGTTACGTAGACTTGATTGTGTAGTTTCTTCATAGTGCTTGTGGGCTATGTATTAAGTATAATATCTCCACAAGGAGAAAAAGAAAACACTGCTGAAAGAAATCAGAGATGAAACAAGTAAATGGAAAAATCATTCATGTTCATGGATTGGGAAAATCAATATTGTAAAAATGGCCATACTGTCCAAAGCAATTTAAAGATTCAATGCTATTGCTATCAAACTATCAATGACATTCTTCACATAACTAGAAGAAACTATTCTAAAACTCATATGGAATGAAAAAAGAGCTCAAATAGCCAAAGCAATCCTAAGCAAAAAGAACAAAGCCAGAGGCATCATGCTACCTGACTTTAAACTACACTACAAAGCCACTGTAAACAAAAAGCTTGGTACTGGTACAAAAACAGACACATAGATCAATGGAACAGGATAGAAAACTGAGAAATAAAGCTGCACACCTACAACTATCTGATCTTCAACAGCGCCAGCAAAAACAAGCAGTGGGAAAAGGATCTCCTATTTAATACATCGTGCTGGGATAAATAACTAGCCATCTGCAGAACTTTGAAGCTGGACTTCATACTTTCATCATATACAAAAATTAGCTCAAAATGGGTTAATGATTTAAATGTAAGACTTGTAACTATAAAAATTCTGTAAGAAAAATTAGTAAATACTCTTCTTGACATTGGCCTTGGCAAATGATTTTTGGATAAGTCCCCAAAAGCGATCATAGCAAAAACAAAACAGACAATTAGACCTAATTAAACTAAAGAGCTTATGTACAGCAAAATATCAACAGAGCAAACAAATAAGCTACATAGTAAAAGAAGACATTTGCAAACTATACATCTGACAAAGGCCTAATATGTAGAATCTACAGGGAACTGAAATCAACCAGCACAAAACAAATAACCTCATTAAAAATGGGCAAAGGACATAAACAGACACTTCTCAAAAGGAGAAATATAAGCAGCCAACAAATATATGGAAATACATAAGGATTTGAAATATAAAAAATGTTTATTATCACTAATCATCAGAGAAATGCAAATCAAAACTACAATAAGATACCATCTCACAATAGTCATTAATGTTATTATTAAAAAGTCAAAAACCAACATGTGCAGGCCAGGCTGCACAAAAAAGGAAACGTTTATACATTGTTAATGGGAATGTAAATTGTAAATTAGTCCAGCTACTGTGGAAAGCAGTTTGAAGATTTCTCAAAGAACTTAAAACACAGCCACCATTCAACCCAGCAATCCCATTACTGGGTATATCTCCAAAAGAAAATGAAACATTCTACCAAAAAGGCACACACACTTGTACGTTCATTGCTGCACTATTCACAATAGCAAAGACATGGAATCCACCCAGGTGCCCATCAGTGGTAGACTGGATAAAGAAAATGTGGTAAATACACACCATGGAATACAATTCAATCACAGAAAGGAATAAAATCACGTCTTTTGCAGCAACATTGATGGAGCTGGAGGCTATTTTCCTAAGAAAATCAACATGGGAACTGAAAATCAAATACTGCATGTTCTCACTTATAAGTGAAAGCTAAACACTGAGCCCACGTGAACATAAATATGAGAAAAATAGACACTGTGAGCTACTAAAGGGTGGGGGTATGGGTAAAACAACTACCTCTTGGGTACTATGCTGGCTACTTAGGTGATGGGATCCATACTCCAAATACCAGTATCACACAATATTCCCATGTATAAAATCTGCACATGTACCCTCTGTATCTAAAATAAAGTTGAAAGAAAGAAATAAAAGTATAAAAGGCTTCTAAGTGTGACTTCTTTAAAAGGTTGACTGTGTTAAGTAATGCCTAATTTAGCAAAATTGTCTGGTATGGACACATTTATGGCAATAAACCTGATCATAATAATTCCAAGGATACTTAAAATCCTGTAGATATGCTATGGGACCATTGGCCTAAGTAAATCCAGATAGTAATATATCATAGGATTCAACCTAAGCAGTTGCAAAAGCCAAATGTTGAGGTCCTGAATTATGAACAATGAGACTGCCATTATTGAAAAGTTTAATGAAAATGGGTTGTATGTAAAGTTTGTAATAGAAAACAGGAAAGTGGTCTTGTACATAATTATTGTAAACTACTATTTTTATAAGCTAAACAGTAGGGAATAAAATCCCATACTGCTGCCAGTCTACTGTGTGGAATTTCTTTTTTCCTTTTTTGATAGATGGTGATATGGTTTGGCTCTGTATCCCTACCCAAATCTCATGTGGAATTGTTGGAGGAGGGACCTGGTGGGAGATGACTGAATCATGAGGGCAGACTTCTACCTTGCTGCTCTCATGATAGAGTTCTCAGGAGATATGTTTGTGTGAAAGTGTGTAGCAACTCCCCCTTGCCGCTGTCTTCCTCCTGATCCAGGCATGTAGGATGTGCCAGCTTTCTCTTCACCTTCCACCATGCTTGTAAGTTTCCTGAGGCCTCCCCAGCCATGCTTCCTATACAGCCTATAGAACTGTGAGCCAACTAAACCTCTTTTCTTTATAAATTACCTAGTCTGAGGTAGTTATTAATAGCAATGTGAGAATGAACTAATACAGATGGGGTCTCGCTCTGTCACCCACACTGGAGTACAGTGGCACAATCATAGCTCACTGCCACCTCGAACTCCTGACTTCAGTAGATCCTCTCATCCTGTTGTCCCAGCCTTCAGAGTAGCTAGTTAGCTAGTAGGTAGGACTACAGGTACAAATAACCATGGCTCTTTTTATTTTTTTGGAGAGACAGGGTCTCACTATGTTGCCCAGGCTGCTCTTGAACTCTTAACTTCAAGCAATCCTCTTGCCTCAGCCTCTCAAAGCACTGAGATTACAGGTGTGGGCCATGGTGCCTGGCCTGGCTAGAATTCTTTTTTTTTTTTTTTTTTTTTTTGAGACGGAGTCTTGCTCTGTCGCCCAGGCTGGAGTGCAGTGGCGGGATCTCGGCTCACTGCAAGCTCCGCCTCCCGGGTTCACGCCATTCTCCTGCCTCAGCCTCCCAAGTAGCTGGGACTACAGGCGCCCGCCACTACGCCCGGCTAATTTTTTGTATTTTTAGTAGAGACGGGGTTTCACCATTTTAGCCGGGATGGTCTCGATCTCCTGACCTCGTGATCCGCCCGCCTCGGCCTCCCAAAGTGCTGGGATTACAGGAGTGAGCCACCGCGCCCGGCCTAGAATTCTTAATACACATGGAATTCCTAATGACAGCCCTTAAGCCACTAAGAAATGGATTATGAGATAAGAAGGAAGAGAAAATAAATAGCTCTATTCCACCCTAATTACTTTTTCTTATTACTCCATAGCAAATTCCAGGACACTAGTATATAGGATGATCATATATTTTAGTGTGTTTTGGACAGTCCTGGTTTATATCTATGATCCCATTGTAATTATTAATAAAGTTCATTTTCATTGTCAGAAATACCTCAGTTGGAATAATAAATTATATGGTCACATACCCAATAAGCCACTGAAATTACTGAACTCCCTTCAGAGTATTCTGACGTTAAAAAAGAATGAATCACTTTGTTATATGTTGCTGTCGTTGCTATTATGTAATACCAAGTAAACAGCATTGGGTTGTTGCAGACAGAAATCAATAAAAAGCAATGCTATAAGCCTTCAAAAGAGGGAATAGAACCTCATTGTGGGAAGAGGACTTAGAAGTAAGTAGCATTTTATGTTCACTAAGACATAGTTGATTGTCCAGACTCAATGGAAATACTGTGGCTTTGTTTTAATGTTTAACTAGTAAGTAAAATCCATATCTACAGAATCCATATGGACAAAAAGAGACTCACGCCATTGCCCTGATGCCTTTTGCCTCCACAACATAAAGGAATTGCTAGTTTTCAACTATTCAATCAACAAACTTTTATTAAAAATTGATTATATTTCAGCTCCCTGCTTAACTCTGTGGGATACAGAAGCAACCATGGTACTTGCCTATAAAAGTTCATATTTTAATTTGCAATTCAAGACCAAAACAATCACATACACATAGTGTATAACCACAATGCAGTCACTCTTAGAAGTAATTTTAAGAAAATAGTTAGAATATTAAGAAAAAAGCTTTTGAAAATAAGGCTTGAATTTAGGCCTAAAGGATGCAAAGACTTCAAAAGATAAAGAGGAATCATGTAAGGGAAAGAATATCTGGTAATGAGCATAATTTCAGGAGTGGCTAAAATGAACTTAGTGTTGAAAGGAAATAAAAAATACCATTGTATAGACATGATGGAGCCGTGTTCTAGATACTTTAGATAATTTAGGTAAGTGTTTTAGCTTGACATAATACTGGTATCAATATTAAAAATCATCCAACAACAGTCGTCTCCACAGTAGTAAAGAGTTTGAGGTTTTTCTATACTGCACTCCAAGTCCTTGTCAAGATAATGAAAGACATTAGATAGGAAAAATATCCAGCACCTTGTTACTTTTAGTCCCAAACAACAGCTGTCGTGAACAACAACAAAAAATGTTATCCAATAAACCACGCATTAATTTGTGATTAAAATATTTCAAAATGTCATTGGCTTCTTTGAATAACCAAAGAAAGATGTGTCCCGAGTCTGCACTCACTTTCATTTTTCTTACTCCAAACATCACGTATCTAGCTAATAATTTCAGCATTCAGGTGCTTAGACATTTTCAAATATGCAAAGGTTATCACACTAATCCCTTGTCTTAAACTTCACTCACAGTTGCTTCCTTCAAGACTCACTTGTTCCATGAAGATATTCTCAAATAAAATTATCTGCCTCCAGTCATTAAAATCACTCAACTAAAATAGCCACCAACCCCTCCTCCCCAGATCTCTGAATAGTTAGTATTTTCTAGATAGTAGTAATTAATTGATGGTAGGCATGTTTTAGTCATGTGAGTCTGAGTCTGTGTTCTGTTTCCTCTTTTAGACTGTGATCACTGCAAGGGCAGGAAACTATCTTCTATTTTCTTTCACTACCATCATTATGTATTATTATTTAGCATTTAATAAGAAACAATAGTTTATTGTAGAAGAGTACGAATCAGTTTCTCACAGCTGAAAGCAAATAATGGCCACAAAAAAATAGAAGCATTAGTACTAGCCAAAGAGATTAAAAATAATAAGAAAACTAAGTATATGTAAAATTGTTGAATCAAAAAGAGAGTAAGAGAAAACAGACTTTAAATAAATGGGGCAGGCATGAAATCAATGACTACTCAACAATGGCTAAAATTCTGAATTAGTTTTTTTTTTTTTTTTTTTTTTTTTAGTGGTACACCAAAGAAAGTAGACAATTAGTAAGTAATGAAGACTGCTAAAATAGCTACTGATGAAAGGCTGGTAAGAAAACACTTGGAACTGAACATTTACAAATTAGGAGTCCCCTGCTAGAATTACTCAACACTCTACAATGGGATAAACCAGGGAGAATAATTGGATGGATTTTTGGAAAGTGAAACTTGAGGGGAAAGGGAAAGCAGAATTCTATAGCATTTTTGAAACAGAATTATGGAGCTAGTCTACCAAAGACATCGTCAATGAGTTCTGGCCCTATGTAAAATTATTACATCAGCAAAAATCATGTCCAAGACCCTCTATAACTTCTTTCCACAGCCATCCTTTCTCCATGGCTGCTTTTTCCTGACGCAGCACCTGACCAGTGCTTCTCTGCTGTCCTGGCTCACTGGGCCACCAATTCTATCTTCTCTTCCAGACTTACAGTTCTTTTCCCTTATCTCTACTTTCTGCTAAAGTAATAGCTAGGTATTCTGTTACATTAATCCATGAAAGGTAACCTAGTTTAATTCAATACTTTTTATTTCATGGCTACCACATGTCAGGCACAGTAGAAAATGTGGAGCTGAATATGACAGAAACACAGTCACCTCAGCATGTACAGCTGGACAGAAGATGTTCTCACACTTAGCTTAGGCCTTTCAGAACATGCTTTAAATTCTTCTCTGGCCACAATTCAAGACTTTTGTTACAGACTACCCACACTTTCCCAAATGGTTACTTTTAAATAGCCTGACCTGGTGAGTGCAGTGGGGTTTTGTGTTTGTTTTGCATTTGTTTGTTTTGTGTGGCAAGATGTGGTACTCACATCTCAGCTTTCATCTATTGTCTTTTCTTTATGCTTTGCTTTTCACAATCTCCCTAAATGCTCCCTTGTTTGCTTATCTTTGCATGGCACTCCCACTGTCTATTTTGTTGTTGTTGTCGTCGTCATTGGTTTTTTTTTTTTAATCATCTGTAATTATGTTGTGATTCTGGATAAAAGCGCAATGACAGTTATATGAGTTTTTTGGACATACATTTTAAATGACCAACACCAGGTGCTATGACACCCACTTGGCACAACAGGATTTCTCTAGGAAAAAGTCCAAGACTATTCATATATGACAAAAAGAAGGTTTGAATATGAAAGATGAACACGATATCAAAGTGAATATTTAAGAAGGAAGCATTGCAGGACAAAGTTAGGAAAACAGCTAAAATTGAATGACGGTTTTAAGTGGGAAAAATTTGAATAGTAGTGTAATAGATACAAAACTCTTCTAGAACTGGAAACAGCATCATGAGGCTATGTTTGAAGACTTTTGGGGGATATCCTTTGAATTTGGGAAATCTTATCTCCAAAGTGAAAGATAATTCTTCAGAAAAAACAAAATGCTTAATTATTTTCTACTTCAAAGCAGCTGATATATATGTATTATGTTTCAAATGACAATTTCAATCTATAAGGCAATCAACCAAGCAAAAGGTTGTACTATATTTCAGCACTATGGGCGAGATACATAGAAAAATATTCAAAAACTATGGTCCCTTCTCTCCAGTAATTTACATATATTCAACAATCTTTTGCTGTGGCAAGACCAATGCACAAATAATTCACAGTAAAATAGTATGGACTATATATACTATAGATGCATGAGAATAGATAAGCCAAGTTCCATTAATATAGATTTTTATTAAATATTTGTAAAATGGGTAAATGAACAAATACATAAATGAGCAGATTAGGGTGACTGGGTTCAGTCTTGAGTGATGGTTAGAGTTTGATGAAGTAGAGCTGGCGGGGGTTGTTTTATATGTACAAGAATTTACCAGAGCAGAGGCCATGAGCAGGTACAAGAACAGGGGAAAGAGATTGTGTTTTTAAGAGGTCAACATAATAGAAGAAGCTCAAATGAGAAAAAGGTCTCAAGGCATAAAGAACACATGTACATTTCTTATAATTATATAATCTTGAAAAAAGAAATCTGGAATATAAATTTACATTATTATAGTAATAATTGAATTATTCCAGGGTCATATTTCACAAGCTTAATGACTTGAGTACCCAGAATAATACAGCAGGAAAAATAATATGACTATGACTAACTTTATCCCAGTCATATTTTATTGGATATTAATTTTTATTCATTCACTTTTTGATCCCACATTCTCTGCTATCACTCCTTTCCCCTCCCTTTTTCTCCCTTTAGTCTCAGCAACCTTTATCTCTTGGGTATTGCTTGGTTCACCTCTAAGTTTGTCTCTGAACTCTAAGCTATTAATTACCACATACCTTATCTGCTAAGGCTTTCTGGACTCATTCTTCTCTGATCTTCATGTCTTTCACTTATTTATGGCCAAAATGTACAGCTTCAATAGTACTACCACATAACATGTATGCAGAATGCTAGCCTAGGGAGTAGGCAGGTGTTCCACCTTTATTGGGTACCCTGAACTGTGTGTTTGTTGGTTCTTTCCTTCTGCCATTATAATGAAGTCTTAAAATGCTATTTGACTTACACGTTGTTGGTGATACTCTAGAAACTGCCCATGATTCCTCAAAGCCACATACTGTTAATAAAAGGGATAAACACTGAAAGAGGTACTGCAGGGTTATGTGTATCTTCATTAACATCTGCTTCATCCACAGCTTACATAACAATCACATTACCCATCCATCCAGAATCTTTTTACATGCCCAATCTTTCCATTTTTGGATGTAATAAAATTATTTTAATTTACTTCTTGATAAGTAAAGGTGCATGGTACTTTAGAAAAGGAACAGAAGTTAGCATCAGAAAACTCACACTTGAATTTTACCCTCCACTATTTTATGAAACTAGGTACTTCATTCAAACAATCTTACCCTCCAAGTTAACATATGTAAACCTATTAGAAAAAAAATTCCTGCATTTCTATCTCATAGGCAATTGTAATGCCAAATGAAAGAAGGGAAAATGCTCAGAACATTCAAAATTTTTAAAAATGTTATTTGTATTTATTTCAAGCTTTGACAATTGTGGCCTAATTTTTAGTCTGTCCTCATTAGCCTTCTTATTTTGTAGATGTTCTTTTTAAAAAAAAAAAAGGATGCATAACCAAACAGATTTCAATGCCCAGAACACATACCAGATATTCAATTAATATTAGTTGGGAAATGGATTAAATATTCCATATTATGATATATCATTTAATTCAGGGTTAATGTTTCTGTGTGTTTATTTTCAATTCCCATCTTGATTTGTCAATATATACAAAGGTTATGTCAAAGAGTAGTCTATAAAAACTGCCTGTAACTTTTATGGTACTAATGGATAACTCAGCTTATTTATTGATAAGTATAGACTGTATTTTTTTTCCTAAGTAAATTACCTTTCAATGCCCACATTGAATATCATCTACCACTTTTCTGCCCACTCACACAGGCTGGCAAGTTCTCCCTGCAGTTTATCTCCATCTGCTTGGCATTTCACTACCTGGAAGAGCTTAGTGTCATCTGCAAACTTGCGTAATTCACCATGCATTCCCTCTTCCAAATCATTTATGAAAATGTTAAATAAGACAGGTTCCAGGGCCAGTCTCTAAGAAACCAAACTGTTTTCACTTTTCCCTTCAGAGGCACTCTCATTTATCTCTACGTTGTGTTTTTCCTTTCCTCTGTTACAATAAGCTTTGTATAATCACTATACATATATATATACACATTTCTTCTGGGAACTAAAGCCACTAGAGGTTTGGGGATACAAAATTATCCAAAATGCATTTCTTCCATAAAACTCAGGTACACTGGAGGCCAGGCAACTTGGGTAGCAATAAGGAAGCTGAACACATAGAAATTCTGGGCCCTTCAGACTCGATCTTCCAAAAAAGCATGTTTTTATCTGTTTTATACATTGAGACATCAATTTCTGGGGGAAAAATCTATAAAAAATTATAGCTTTAAAACCACTAGTCCCTGAGAAAAGCTGTGAAATCAGGATCCCAAGATTTGTGCTTTGCTGTATACTCATCTATGTACCACCAGTGTATTCTTAGCCTTGCTGAGAATCTGGTTCCTGAACTGTAAAGCAGAAAAAATGGCCTCTGCCATATCTCCACACATCTCTTGCAGGAGTTGTGAGACTGAAGTGATATAATGTATTTAAAAGCTGATTGTAGCATTTATTAAGAGTAAGGCTATAAAGATGGATATAGCAGAAGGAACAGGGGAACCAGCAGTATCAGAGAAAGCATAGTTCCCATATTCAAAGGGCCTGAGCTGGGAAGGGGAAATAAAAATGCCAGTAGGCAGTTGATATAATGAGAAAGCGAGCAGAGCAAGGACCTTTGTCTATGAGATTAAATATGAGAGACAATGGGAGTGAGAGTTTGAAAGAGAAGGGAGGAGGTTGTGGTTGAAGAGAGTAATACTGGAGTTTAATGTTTCTCAGTAAGGGACCTAGAAGCAGGTACCTGTAGTGAAGTTGAAATGAAAGATGTAGAATTGAGGAAATAAAAGTGTTACAAATGAGGGTATTGTAAAAATTGTCTAAACATGCATTTTTCCTCTCAACAGGGGTAGAGAAGAAAAGTGAGATTGGTCCCAAGATCTGCAAAATTAGGGTAGAACCATCGGGAGATCCATGAATGGCAGAGTGAGAGGGGTAGAAATAAACACAGTCAGAGAGCAGGAACCTCAAAGGAAGATTTCAAACAGGAGTATGGAGACAACAGTCTGCAGTCAGAAGATCATTCACCCATGTTTCATGGCACACTAAGTAAGGGGTTACCGGGTAAGTTATGTAATCAAAGGAGTGCCTCAGTTCAAGCATGGTATGCAGATATACAAAGAATTCGGTGAAAGGATGACAACATGGGAGATTTGGTTTACAAGAGTACAAGGTTTCCAGAGAGCCTAAGCAGAAAGGAGTTACACTGAGACAATGCAGACAGCTATGTAAAATCAAAAGAAAATGGTAGATGTGTGATGAGAAGGAACTCTGTGACCAGACTCTACGGGGGTGCAAATCATGTTTTGGTATAGCATAAAAATATCCTCAGAGAGTAGAGATAGTTGCTGCAAAGTTTAAAAGGGGCATCAAGGGCTCACTTGTTCTAGAAAGAAGTTATCTAAATCTAACCCAGATGAAGTAAAGAAATTCTGTTGGACCACACTGGTATCCAATTGATAAATGCTTTCTGGTCGGGGTAACTCATACATTCCAATTCAATTTAAATGTGTCCAAATCAACCAAAATTTGTTGGCTACCAAATATATACTAAGTACCAGTGCACCTATATAAACAAATCAGCATTATGTGTTCCAGATTTGTTCTAAGATTGTTGTAAAATCCCTTGTTTTAATTTTGGAGGACTTAAGCTTGGTGGGGGAAAGAGTGAACTAAGTTTCTCTTATATTATGAAGGTGTCTTTCATTTCTCCAGATTAAACTGTCCCCCCCACCACCCACTTCCCAAAAACTCATATATTGATGCCCTAATCCCAAATGTGACGGCATTTGGAGACAGGGCCTTTAAGGTTTAAATGAGGTCATAAGGATGGGAATCTGATCCAACAGGACTGGTGTTCTTATACAAAGAAGCAGAAGAGACACTAGGGATGTGCAAACGCAGAGAAAAGATCACGTGAAGACACAGTGAGAAGGCGGCCATCTGCAAACCAAGGAGAGCAGATGTGGAAGAACCCAAAGCTGCTGGAACCTTAGTCAGGGACTTCTAGTCTCCAAAACTGTGAGAAAATCATTTTCTGTTGTTTAAGCCACTCAGTCCAAGGTATTTTGTTAAGGGAGCCTCAGCAAACTAATACACTCATGTTACCAGTTAGTACAATTTCTTTTTGATGTTCAAAATTGATGAGGGAACTAAGTCTCAGAGAGGTTAAATGTGTTTCCCACGGCCACACCGCTAGAAAGCCATGGGTCTGGAATTAAAATCCAGGTCCATCTGACTGCAAAGCCAATGGGCTCTTTGCTGCCATTGGCTCTATTTCTTTTCTAGCGCTAAGTGAAAACACAGCAACCCCCACCTCCCACTAATAATAATAACAATAATAGACCAAGTTCTATATGCAATTTCTTAAAGGTGATTTCAAAGAATAACATTTGAGAGCTAGATAGACTTAGGGAAAAGCTGATCATCAGCTGATCACTTCTAGTCCCAAACAACAACCACAAAAATAGATATTTGAAAAATAAAATCTATAAAGAAACTGATCTCTAAAACTACTTTACAATGCTTTCATTTTGATTTTGACGTTTTGTTTTATTGTGAATATAAGTCATGTTTGCTACAAAAATGGAAGCAAAATAGAAATATATAAAATGTTAACGGACATCCACTTTAGGTGTTTCCAGTTTTTCATTATTATAAAACAAGAGTCACATATCATTTTATGTATTATTTGTAATTTTGTATAAGTATCGATATTTTAGAATAAACTTGTAAAAGTAAAACTGCTGAGTCAAAGGGTATGTGCATTTTAGATTCTGATAGGTATTTTCAAATTGGCTTCTAAACCCTCCAAAGCTAACTTTCATTTTATTACCTTCCCTAGGTCCAGCCCCTAGAACCACCACACAGATTC
This sequence comes from Homo sapiens, assembly GCF_000001405.40. NCBI lineage: Eukaryota > Metazoa > Chordata > Mammalia > Primates > Hominidae > Homo > Homo sapiens. The sequence goes on from NC_000003.12 coordinate 117,961,305, forward strand.
CACCCAGAACAAAATGCTCTACAAATAAGAAATGCTATTGCTTACATTATTTTATGAGAAAGCACTGACATATCCTGAGGATATATCCAAGACATTTCACCGTCTTGTAACAGAAAACATAATTCAGTTTGAATGTTAGATCTGCGTCTAGAATTCTGTTTAAAATGAACATTAAAGCAAAAATCCCACCATCCTATTGTACTCAGAATGAACCAATCTCCACAAACCATGAAATAGTTAAGGCTGATTCATCACAACTAATCAGTAAACTTAATGAAAGCAGGACAGAAATGTGGATTGAAGCTGATAAGACAGTATGAGGCATATTGTAGCAGCCAATATTAGTGACCTAGATGACATTTAGCCCCTCTTCCTCCTAAGAAAGCCTCGCTGAGGGCAGCTGTTTGTCTGCTGAGGTAAGGTCTCATTTTCCACCTTTCTTATATGATTATATGTCATCATTTTCAGCACAGAGAAGTAAACAGATGTCTGACATGGACTCAGCAAACACTTTTGCTTTTGTTGATAGAGGGATGGAAATTACTTACACTGAAATCTCCCACCCCACTCCTCCTGCCACCATCACCTTCATCTGTTTTGAATGTGGATATGATATAAAATACTGTAGCCATTTTTGTGAACTTTAAGACAAATAGCATGGAGAAACAGCTAGAAGAATCGCAGAGATGTCAGCCCCACTATTCTCCAGCATAAGTTTAAGGACGCATGACAAAATACACACAGCATTTCTTTGTTTAATCTCCTATATTGTCTTGCTATTTGATGCTAAAGACATCCCTAACCATGCAGATATTACATTAACAATGTAAATATGATAAAGATATTTCTAAAATTGAAATATGGTCAAGGTATTTTTAAAATTGAAATTAAAATGGAAAACATTTAAAATGGTATCATTTTTTTAAAAACAAGTTTCAATAATTAGTAGATTATCTTTGTACAAGACTGCTTGTAGCTTTTGGTTGGAAAGTAATGTGATTAAAAGAAGAGACTGAACTTCAGAATATGACATACCTAAACAAACATTCCCTTTTTGCCATTTTCTAGTTTTTGTGGTGGGAAGGGAACCTGGTTTCTTAATTTATAATTAAACATAATAAGAAGAATCATATAGGCTTGTTCTGATGGTACGTGATGATCACATAGCAGATAATCAATACATGTTGGTTCTTCTCTCCTTTCATTCAAAATTTATATTTTTTATGGAAAAGGCAGCCTTGGTCTACCTCCCAGGAAACAATAACAATTTCACATTCTTCATTCTGTTTTATGGCAAAGAAGAAAATAAGCTGATAAAGGACTTTTAAAATCTGAACGATAGATTTCAGGATGTGGAGTAGGAAGAACCCTGATTCAAATCAGCCCTTAGACTTTCTAGAGATACAGCCCCACAAACTGAAAATTGATGCTCATAATGAAGACTCATGAGATTCTGCAAGATCCTGGCCTAGAGGCTACAACTAGATTCACTCTATTGTACTCACCAATGGAGGAAGAAAAAAAAAAACTCAGCAGAAATAGCTAATTCTCTGCCAACTTGAACTCAATGGTAATGACTGTTAAGTAAGATTCTTTTAAGAATAACATAGAATTTATTTTTTTTAAAATGCAGGAATAATCATTCACATTACTAACTCCAGAGTTATTTAAGGTTGGCAGTTGCTCTGGTTTATTCAAAATTTTTAAAACACAAGAATAATCATTCACATTACTAACTCCAGAGTTATTTAAGGTTGGCGGTTGCTCTGGTTTATTCAAAATAAAAGTATGTATTTTCTAATTGCTTCACATTTAAGAATCATGTTTGTAGAATTCGTTTGTGTATTAATATGGTTGTACTTACCAAAATATAATTTGAAATACATAATCAGAAAAGATTCTATTAAAATATTTCTTGTGTGTTCTAAGGAACATCAATCCCTCAGTGTGCTTTGCAAAATTTTCTCATGATTAAATGAGCTTGAGAAATCACTTTATAATATATGGTTCTCTTAAAGATTTTAAATAATACAGTAATACATTATAGGCTTTGAGAAGCTTCATATTTGTAGAAACTGTTTAACATTTAGCATATCCAAAGCCAATAATTGTTCCAAGTGTCTCTGACCATGAAAGGTTGTTCTCCTAGTAATACCTATTAACCTCCTACACTGAGCACATTGTTTGAAACACACTTTGGAAACTGCTGTAGAGTTTGGTGGTCATATATTATAATGGTGGCAATACCTATAAAAGCAGAGTAATGTGAAACATATTCAGGTGTCCATTCAGTCTGTCTGTGAAGCCAGATGGACAATCAGCTGACATAAATGGGTTACATGCAAGCAGAGTAAAAGCAGATTGGTGTTAAGACGGTTTTCTTTTCAGTCCTAGATTTGCACGCTACTGTCTTTACTATGTTACTTGGGACAAAATGTTAGCATACACATATAAGTATATACATCGACGCAAGCAACTGAAGTATCCAGAAAAGAGTCAACACTATATTTTTTCAACCATTTTTAAAAACATTCTCTCTGCAAGGCATGCTGTTGATAAAAGAATAGAATATATTTGGCTTCTGTGATGTACAGTCTGGTGTGGAAGAAGGGAGTGGTAAAAGATTTCCCAAAACATGTTTCTCCTGAAATGTAACACCCTGATACCGTTTGGCTTTGTATCCTCACCCAAATCTTATCTCAAATTGTAATTCCTGTGTATCCAGGGAGGGACCTGCTGGGAGGTGAATGGATCATGGGGTCAGTTTACCCCATGCTGTTCTCGTAATAGTGAGGGAATTCTCATGAGATCTGCAGGTTTTAAAAGTGGCAGTATCACCTGGGCTCTCTTTCTCTCCTTCTGCCTTGTGAAGAAGGTGCCTGCTTCCCCTTCACCTTCTGCCATGATTGTAAGTTTCCTGAGGCCAGCCATGCAGAACTGTGAGTCAATTAAAACTTTTTTGTTTATAAATTACCCAGGCTCCGGTACTATCTTTGTAGCAGTGTGAAAACAAACTAATACACACCCTTTCAAATGAATAAACCTCACAAAGATGGAAACTTCAGCATAATCTGAAGTTACTATTTGTGAAGATGTGATGTCAGTTTTTCTTTGAAATTTATGTTTTCATATGATATTTGCAGTGTGAGACTTGGTGAGGGAGGATAATATATATGAAGATTTTACCCAGATGGAAATTGTGAAATGAATTTTGGTATGGAAAGCCAGCTATAATATTGTTCAACATAATAGTTTTATTTTACTATTTTATATTCTATAACAATCATATGTGGATTACAGAATATGGGTCAAAAAGCAGGATAAATAGTGAGAAGAACTTCTCATTTTTTAAAGAAAAGATGATCATTATTTCATGGGAGTTTGAAATCTAATTAGAAAGACAAGATGTATGCCCATAAAACAGGTAACAACATAAGGGAGATATGATTAAGTACCATGAAAAATGATGAGTGATAAAAGTAGCAGGTGCTATAAGAGGATTAGAGAAGAAATCGAGTTTCACTATTTTCATGGATATAAAATAACCTAAATTAAAAAATCAACTTGATTTAAGTGGATTTAGCTTGTCATTTCAATTTTGCATGTTCAAGGCTTTATGTAATTGGGACTCTTCTCATTGTTTTCCCAGCTTGCTCACCAGGTAGCCAGTGAGAGAACAGAATAGGCAGTTCTGTCCCTGCCATCTGCCATAACTCCCATTGCAAATCAGGTGACTGTGTGTGTGTGTGCGTTTGTGTGTGTGTGTGGTGTATACACACATACACATATGCTACCCAATATGTATTCGCATTTGGGACTGAATATTTTGAGGTTCTCAGATTCAAGAAACTGTGAAAATACCTGGTATCATTATCTAAACTTTCAGTCTGAGGTTTAGCCGTCCCTGAACAATCACGGCTCAGCACTGAAAGTAAAGATGTATATACATAAGCACAAATTGCAACAATAACACTTTGCATTTCTAAAACATCTTCCACTGAAATAGCTCATTCTCAGCACTGTTTACAAGCATTAATTTAGCCTCACAAGGGAAAGATAATTTGCAAGAAATAGGTTAAGGGTCTGATTTGAGATAGCACAGTTCCTGAAGTCAGTATAAAATACAGGCATTCTCACTCCTTGTCTAGTGACTTGGTGCAAGCAAACCCTTCTTCAATTCCTTTTTAAATTTTGTTTTCGAATACCAATGAACATACAAAAATAAAAATTATAACGTGTCATTAGCATAGATATAAAAATAATGCAGAGAATCTTTTTGTATATGACTCTGTCTACGTTATTGCTATCATTTACAAGCTTTTTTCAGGCCTGGTAAAGTTTTTTTCCGTGTGCCTGGAAACACTGATAATGAAAACCATTATAATGAAGAGAATAATATTTAAATGTGAGAAAACGTTCAATGAGAAGATGAAAGAAAACATAAGGAAGTTCTGAGCCCCTCACAGGTAGACTTGCCTCATGCAAGTCTGTCCTCCAGTTTCTTAATCTTATCAGCAACTGGTAGAATAGAATAGGAGCAACAATGCTGGGTCAGAAATTGGAAAATAGTCCTCCACCAATACCACTGTCCCTATTACAACCCAAGGGAATTAAACATTAGAATGTGCCGGGGCAAACAAAAAGTGTAGGTGGAGGAGGAGGAACAGCACAGAGGGACTATGACGATTATCCCTAGCACTTGCAGAACTTTATTATTCACTTTTGTGCTTAATTAAATATAAATAATTATTAAGTATTTTCCATATCAAGTTGCAACATTAAATGTAGAGATAAAAAATCCTCAAAAAGGCAAAACATAAATAATTAAGCCAGAAAGAAACAATAAGAATGGTGTAAGTTGATTAATTCTTTCAATACATTTGGAGCATCTACAATAGGAATGGCCAGAAATTCTCAAAAGTGGTGATGCTTTGGAAGGCTCAATGGGGAACTCTAGAATTTAGCTGGGACGGCTTTTGATTGTCACAGTAACTGAGGGAACCCTTGGCATTTATTGGGCAGTATCCAGGGGCACTAGATACACTGCAATATTCAGGACAGTCTCACCAATAAATAACTCTCCCAAATCCTGCATGACTTTCAAAGATCTCATTGCATGTTTATTCATGGGGGTGAGAAGCCAATTTATAATTGCTTGAGGTTAGAAGCTCTCTCCATGTACTAGATATTATACAAAGAATTATTTACACAGTTTTAATACATACTGAGTTCTCTGAGTGCAAGTATCATATTAATCAGAACATATTTCACATAGTTTGATTCAGAATTTACCAACATGTGGCCACAATTTTGGAAAATCACATCATGAGTAGCTATGCCATGGCACCTGAATCACTGTAACAACATGCCATACCCTTCTGCATGTGTAGTGGCCATGTCCAGGTGACGCCATGCATACTTGTATGCATCTTCCTACTTTATCACATCATTCTGTGAAGTTATGCCTGAGCATTTACATATTGAATACTTAATACTTTATTATAATTAATTTCCATAATTTCTTCTAGTTAACCATGATACTGATTTTTAAAAAATTACATGTGTAGATAAGTTGTATCATATATTAATTTCAACTTAGAACAATAAAGGTGTATTACATATTAGTTGTTATAAATAATATCACACATTGTTATAAATAGTACTGTAGATTATTTGTTATAAATAATATAGTATATGTGGTGGTTAATATTAAGTGTCAACTTGATTGGATTGAAGGATGCCCAGATGTCTAGTAAAGTATCATTTCTGGGTGTGTCTGTGAGGGTGTTGCCAGAAGAGATTAACATTTAAGTCAATCCACTGAGAGAGGAAGACCTACCCTCAATGTGTGTGGGCACCATCCAATTGGCTGCCAGTGAGGCTAGAACGAAGCTGGTAGAAGAAGGTGGGATAAGCTGGCTTGCTGAGTCTTCTGGCTTTCATTTTTCTCCTTTGCTATATGCTTCTTGTTCTTCAACATCAGACTCCGGGTTCTTTGGCCTTGGATTTACACCAGCGGTTTGCTGGTTGGCTCTAGGGCCTTTGGCCACAGACTGAAGGCTGCAATGTCAGCTTTCCTACTTTTGAAGCTTTTGGACTTGGACTGAACCACTACTGGCTTCTTCTTGTCTTAAAGACAGCCTATCATGGGGCTTCACCTTGAGATGGTGTGAGTCAATTTTCCTTAATAAATTCTCTTTCATATATACATATATCCTATTAGTTCTGTCCCTCTGGAGAACCCTAATACAGTACTCTATTACATGTGCCTCTGCTAAGTAGTACAGATAAGAGTAGTGGCGAGGACAGGAAATGGAGTGGTTAAAAAGCAAGTGTCAAGTCAATGGGCACAGAAATAAATCCAAAATTACAAAGAGTACTAAGTCTTACAAAGGAAAAGAAGACCAAGAATTGAAAAGAGAATAGCAGAAGAGAACATAAATTGAACAGTCAACATTCAGAAAAGGCTCCTCTAAACAAAGATAAAGAGCAACAAGATGTCTAGAAGTCGTCAAATGAAGAAAAGGGGTCTGCACTGTGAGTAGAAGGAAGAGCATGTATGAATAAATATATGGTCACAATGGGCTACAAGAGAGGAGAAGGGGTTTAATCAGGTTGATCAGAAAACACAGGACAAGGCAGCTTTTCCACATCCCACATTGTTTTGTGCGTAATTCCTCCACCTTCCTAAGTACATTTTGCTTTAAAAGCAATTCAGATCTCTCCTCAGAATCTATTCAATGGACTCCAAATTTCTCCTGAGAGAAGAAGAAATATAAAGTGTCACTAGAATGTACATTACCTTGCTTAAACACCTTGAGATAGATTAACGTATTCCAATATTTTCTCTAGGTAAATGCTATCTGAATTGGCAAATTGGGATTTTTAGTCTGTACTCTGCATTTAGCATGGTCTTGCCTAAATGTTAAAGCAAATGGTTTCTTGCCTAAGGGTTTGAAAATAACAAAGCCAAGCAATATGCATCCACGGCTCCCCTTGGATCATTCGATCAAAAAAAATATTAAGTAGTGCTGTTTTCGTAACTACTATTGTGGGGACACTTCAGTGTTGAGAGAACAAGAAGCTAATTCCTATTCTCCTAATGTGATGCAGTGGAGAAAATTCAGAGGAAGATTTGTCTCATAAGCTGCAAATATGCAGGGGGTGACTCCAATCAAACACCACAAGACTTCTTCATAAGTGTTTACATGAAAGGAAACCATCTATTTCTTGAGGCCAGTTATCTCTCCATTATGCAATCTCTCACTCACTTGGGGTAGAGACATGGGAAAAGTGCAGTTGATTGAAAACCTGTCCAAGAATCTCCTTCCTAACTGTGGCTTGCTTCAGAAAATCTGGGAGGTGTGCAAACTCCCAAGGTCTCATCTGACAACTTTTTCCCCTCCTTCTACACTTTTATTTTTAACAAAACAATGAGGAAATGCATTCTTATTTGAGTCTGGGTTGAACAGAATCTTTAGCCTAAGATTTGACTAGCTATGACATCACTGACACATAGGCTAATTGCGATGGGGCGGAGGCTGTGTCCTCTATCTTCCTTTCATTAGTCAGTGGATAACATTCATTTTCTTCTAACATATCAGAAAAACAAGAATCCGAACTCTTATTTGGAAAGGCTGGAAATTTTTGCTTGAAAAATTAATCCTATAATACATGGAATTGCTATCATACTTTCCAATATGGGGAGAAGCTTTACAGTTAACTTTAAAACGTAATGGTTTTGAGTTGATAGGTCTTGGGAAATTATTAACTTGACTGAAGTTCCAAGTAATGAATGTGCTTTAAAAATATTCAAGAATAAATAATAATTAAAATGTTTGTTTTAATAAAATCTTCATAAGATGTAGTCTCTTTTATTTCAGAAATTGTATTGCCTTGTGTTTAGTATTTGTGAAATGAGAAGTATAAACTCCAAAGTTCTAGTGTATAATCCCAACATGGGATCCAATCATTTTATTGATTGATCTTATTGATAAAATAAGACACAGATGCCTGCAGACTAGAAAAACAAGTTACACTAAACTTTGAGGTTCTATAATCTCCCTTAGGTTGAATGTAAATATAGGTGTGCAAATCTATTTGTGACAGATGAGGGTCAAACTGCTGCTGCTTAGAAAGCCCCTTGGCTATAAAGCTTCTATTTCCTATGCAGAACCTTGATATTGTTTGTAAATCCCAAACTGAAATGTTCCTAGACTCCACGGCTTAGTTAGAAATTCTACATTTGTATCCCAGATATTATACATGGTAATATGAAAGTTAGAGTCTGTGATTAAGATGTGGATTATGTGGCCAGGCGCGGTGGCTCACGCTTGTAATCCCAGCACTTTGGGAGACCGAAGCAGGTGGATCACCTGAGGTCAGGAGTTAGAGACCAGCCTGACCAACATGGTGAAAACCTGTCTCTACTAAAAATACAAAATTAGCCGGGCATGGTGGCCCATGCCTGTAATCCCAGCTACTTGGGAGGCTGAGGGAGGAGAATTGCTTGAACCTGGGAGGCGGAGGTTGCAGTGAGCTGAGATTGTGCCATTGCACTCCAGCCTGGGCCACAAGAGCAAAACTTCATCTCAAAAAAAAAAAATGTGGATTATGTGGCCTACAGGCTAGATAATGAATAAAACTCAAGAGTGACAAGAGAGAATCCATTCTTCCTGTTAGTAGGACTCCCAAATCACACTGGCCTCCTATAAACACCCACCTAGAACATTCTTTGGGAGAGATAGAGAAGAAATTAGGTCTTCTATCTACTCTGCCTCCTGATTTATGTTTCACCATCTATGAATCTGTTATTAGAGAAACCTTGGTAATACCATTACTATGAGTCCAAATGTTTCATATCTATTATTTCATTAACCTATAGAGGTCTTGGTATCTTACACTGTAAATGTGCATTTTTCTACAGAGATAGTCCTAATGTTGAGATATTAGGGTTTGGTTCATCACCCCAAGAGCAGTTAAATTAAAATGCTCTATAATATGGCAGATTCATTTGACCATTCCATTCCAGGACTCAGATTAGAAACGTCCTCACTAACACTGGCTAAGTGGAGATCAACCTCTGCCCCAGTGTATTCAGCTAATCACATAACCATGATTATGCACTCATACATACATCTGGTCAATTCAAATATTTGAGGTGGGACCCACATTCTAAGCTCATCAATACACCTAACTGTATCCTTTGAGAGACCCTGTTAATTCACATTTTCCCACTTTGTTCTTCATTTTATGATCCCAGGAACTTTCCGCACTAGCTCCAGGCAGTTACGTCTGAGTTGCCTGCAATGCAATCATATCCTTAAGGCTAAATAAAATTGAAAAGCAGCTGCTTAAAATTCTCTGAAATGTCATGAAAATGCCTATACAATTCGCTTCCGAAAATTAATATGATAAAATCCATTGTTACTGTGTACAGCCATCCACTGAAGCGCCATCTCTTTGGTCACATTATATTCTGAAATTTAACACAAATCACACAAATTTGCTTCAGACTGACATATTTTTACAATCTTCAGATCAATCTGATATATAGTAAAGACACTAATAGTGCTTAGGGACCCTTCCTACGAGTATTAAACTTATGGAGTCTGGACAATGATGGGACACAGTTTTAAAGTAAAAATCTTGCTCAGTGCCTCAAATTTGCCAAAGTCTGTTGAGATCAGTCAAAAAGACTGATGAAATTTCTCTGCTGGGATGCTTCAGCTAGAAAAAGTAACATTTACTAATATTCCAATATGTGTTTTTCTTTAGTATTTCATGTTTCAAAAAGAAAGCAGAAAAAGCCTCAGTAAATTCCTATGGTACTTGCTTAAACTGACATATATGCAGTTGTGGCTAATATATTTTTAACAAAATACGATTTTAAAAATCATCAGTTAACTCCTTTTAGAGTACAAAGTATTCTTTGATTATTCAGCCATTGAAATAAGTGCAAAAAATATTTGATGACCCTCATAGTCATGTTAAACAAGATTCATCAACTCCTAAATAAGGATCATAAATTTCTACAGGATGTCCATTTTGGAGGATAGCATGGGTTGTTGTTGTAGAATTGATGGATCCCTATCTAGGGACCAATTTTATTCAATATTTTCAGTGATCACCCTGGGAAATCAAGAAAGAACCTTGAATAAGCTATTAAATACATTCTGATGTCCTGAAATCCTATCTCTGTTCAACAGATGGTAAATGCATTCAGAAGTCCTAGTTGTAGTCATTGAGGGATTGCTGTATGCCAATCATTCTGCTCCAGGAGCAACCACACTGTTAAGATATGCAGGAGATCATGAGCCTTCACGCAACCTGCACAATCATCCGGACTGACAGTCAGCCCAGAGGCAGGTAGATCTGTAGGAAATCTAGCAAAAGAGAAACCTTGTGAGGGCACCACATTAAAAACAATTCCGAATTCAGCTTGAGTCTAAAGACAGCATTATTAGAAAAATCAAATAAAGTAATTCACACATTTTAAGGATACAGTTGGGCACCATGGATCATTAATTTACAAATATGCAGTTTGGCAACATTTTACAATTTACATTATAATCATGCTACCGTAATTAACTGTATAACAACTAGATCACATCTCAATTCTGGAACACATTTATTAGCATCAATTTTCAGAGAACTGAGATCAACAGTAATGAGTTCTCACCATGGAAATTCCAAAAAAACATCAAAGCTCTCATTCCTAAACTTCAACCTAGCATCTAAACAAAGGACAAAGGGTGTGGTGGTGGTGGTGGTGGTCAGTCAGACGCAGGAGAATCAAACATTAGCAATGAGAAGTGGGAAAATCTGTAAAGCAAGAATGAAGCTGAGTAACATGGCTCTTGAAAAGAAACAGTAACAAAGAGTAACTCCTTTAGAAAAAATAAATTGGTGGACTTTTTGCTTGTGTTTGTTTAGCAAAAGCAGGATGTATGAAGTGAAAGAAAAATGAAGCCAGGACAAAGGAACATATGTTAATCTACGCCTCTTTTCCAGCTATTTTATACCCCTTTATCCACACGAAGCCTGGTGGAAGGTACTGCAGGGAAGATGTGAATGACACCTTCTTGTGAAACAAGATCTTACAATTTATGTGATTTATTTAAAGACCACACCTTGAAAAAAGTTTATAGGAAGAGACAGACTTTGAAATCAACTTCTAAACATGCCTCCCTGCTGATGCCATGCCATGCTTCCTCTTGATAGCCTAGGTAATAGCAACAATTGTTACTGGCATTCATCACGGCAGATCAAATCAAGTGTTGAGGACTGGAATTCCTTTTCTAGGCTTTCTCCTTGTGCCTAGTCCCAGCCTTTGCAGGAGCCACCAAGTCATCACCAATAAACACCAGGGATCTTCAGAAATGTATTTGAAAATCATTGATCTAATCTAGTCCAATACAATGTCACCTATTCTAACCAAGAAGGTGACGTGATCTGCCCATATATTTAACTACTAAGCAGAGGGCTAGGATTTACAGTCAGATCTTCAAATGATTAGTACAACGTTCTTTCACATACCTCAAATTAGATGCGATTAGAACCAAGTGCAGCTAGATGCAGCCTTTGGATAGAATGTGTTGCGGCACTGAGAACTGAAGCAGGGAGGTGACTATGACTTTTAACATATTCTCCATGTTAGAAGATCAATGAGTTGGAAAATATTAGAAATTGGCCTAAGTTTATGCAGTGAATAAATTGGTGGCAGATTGGCTCTGAAGTTCATATTTAAGCCACTATACTATGCTCTGAGTGCTAAATTAAATATTTAGTTTAATTCTTAACTTAGTAAATTTACTTAATTTTTTTATAGCAACATTTAAATTTTAAAGGTTGCTATTATCCACCTATATTTTGTAAATTGCCTATTCATCTTTTACTGTATTTTTATTATGGGGTTTCAAACTCTATATCAATATTCAAATATTTTATTTTTATTCTGAAGGATTTGCTAATTTTATGAACATGGATTTTTTTCCATTAGGACCTTTTTCTAAATAAAAAATTTAATATTTTGGAAATATTTTCATGTCATGAAAGCCAATACTTTGTCATACTTTATTTTTAATTCCTATTTTATTTGAAATTTATTTGCTATAAAATAGGAAAGTAACTTATCTGAAAGGATCACTGAACAATCCTTGAATAACTTGCTTAATTTCAATAATCTTTTTTCTTATTCACTTGTAATACAACCTGTATCAAATAATTCATTCTTAAACATCACAGAATCTGTTAATAGATGAGCTATGTTTCTTTCTCAATGGCCTATCTATAGATTTTTATGCCAGACTACCGTGCTATTATATATATTACTATTACTACTACCAACAATATTTTTGTTATTGTTGATATTTTATAAGGAATATAGAATAATGAGGTTAAGAATATGAACCCTGGAGTCAAGAATGCCTGTGTTCATACAGGCTTCAACATACAGGAATTTATTAGTTATGTAATTTTGGGCAAATCAGAGAATGCCCACTTTCCTTAACTGCAAATGGGGATTAATAATGGTACAATTGGTCCTGGCAGTTCCACATCCACAGATTCATTCAAATGCAACTGAACATTTTCAGAAAAAAGCACAATAAAAATGATACAAATAATACAATATAATGACAATTTACAGACATTTACATTGTATTAGGTATCGTAAGTAATCAAGAGATGTTTTAAATTATATGGAAGGAGGTACATAGATTTTATGCAAATAAAACACCATTTTATATAAGGAATTTGAGTACCCACAGATTTTAGACTGGGGATGAGAGGTTCTGGAATCAATCCCCCGAGGAAACTGAGGGATAGGATAACTGAATCTATCTCATAGGAGTTTGGTGAGGAATGAGTGAGTTAATATACCTAGAGCACAGGAGGTCACCTATGACATGTTAAGTACTATGTGAGTCTTAGTTATCATTTTATTTCATTACTCCAAACCATTAATTTAATTCACTTTAGAATAATTATGAAAAGTTCTAGAAATTATTAGTTTTGAAGTTGGTTGGAAAAGGAGTAATATTTGTAAATTAAGTTGGAAAGAACTGATATATTTATAATATTCATGAAATAATGGCATGTCAGCAGTTATAAAAATGAAAAGACATGGCATCCACTATCTGTTGTAATCCTTTTTTTTTTTTTTTTTTTTTTTTCGAGACGGAGTCTCGCTGTGTCCGCCAGGCTGCAGGTTGGAGTGCAATGGTGCCATCTCGGCTCACTGCAACCTCTGCCTCCCAGGTTCAAGCAATTCTCCTGCCTCAGCCTCCGGAGTAGCTGGGACTATAGGCAAGTGCCACCATGCCCAGCTAATTTTTGTATTTTTAGTAGAGACGGGGTTTCACCATGTTGGCCAGGATGGTCTCCATCTCTTGACCTCGTGATCCACCTGCCTTGGCCTTCCAAAGCGCTGGGATAATTTTTTCATAGAAATTATGGAATTCTATTTAAAGTCTGTTGCCATATTCAAAGATACATTTTATTTTTCTTTGTATTTTTTATCTGCTTTTTTGTTAGGTGGAGAAATTATTGATTTTTTTCCAACTTTTTTGTGGTAAAACATACATATAAAGTTTACCATCTTAACCAGTTTGAAGTGTACTATTCAGTAGTAGAAAACATATATTCATAATGTTGTACAATCATCACTACCATCTATCTCCATAACCCTTTTCATCTTGTAAAACTGAAAATATTGATTTTTAAATATTTAATTGATAAAAGCCAAATATCTAAACATCTTTATTATTAGTCCAAGTGACGCCTTGGTGTTGCTGTTATTGTTGTAGATTTTCTTAGGGTTTCCATGTAGTCAGCTTTTATATAAATAAAAATAATTTTTATCTCTTTCTTTCCAGTTCACTAAACTTCATGCCTTACTTCATTTCCCGAAATACACCAAACAAAAAGTTTCTCATAGCAGCCATCTGCAGCTTGTTTCTCATTTAATAAAATTGCTCCTAGGTTCTCACTTTAAAGAGTAATGTTATCTATTGATTTTCTTTAACCCATAAGAAAGAATTTAACAATAATATAGTTTAAATGGCATCAAACAACCTTTTGGAGATTTGTTGAGGTGAACATACAGATTTTATTATTTGACTGAATAATTATATAAGACAATTATCTGTATTAAATTATGCATGCCTAGAATAAGCTCATCTTTAATAATATACATTATATTTATATATTGATAAAATTGATTTGTTCTTTTATTTAGGAGTTTTGTATCTCTGTGGTATTTTTTGTTTATTTACTTGCTATTTTGTTTATTTACTTTAATTGACAAATACAAATTGCATATAATTGTCATATACAACAAGATGCTTTGAAATATGTAAAAATGCTGGAATGGCTAAATCGAATTAATCAGTATAAGCCTATTTCACGTACTGGCCAGTTTTTGTAGTGAGAACATTTAAAATGCACTCTCTTAGTAATTTCAAGATTACAATGCATTTTTATTAACTGTAGTCATCATATTGTACAATAAACTTCTTGAAATTATTCCTCTTACCTTACTGACATCTTCTATCGTTTGATGCACATCTCCCCAGCTCTCCTACCTGCAACTGCAGCCCCTGGTAATCGCCATTCTTCTCTCTGCTTCTTAGAGCTTAACGTTCTAAGATTCCACATATAAGTGAAATCAGGCAGTAAAGTTTTGGTATTACGGTTATGTAGCTTCGTAACAGTAGGTTAGGGGGGCTTTGCTTTTCCTAAAATTTTATTTTTCTGGGCTTAAAAAATGTTAATATGAGAATTAACTTCACTTTTGCATTTTCATGTAATCTGTCTATAAAACCATGCAGGGCAAGAGCCTTTTAAGAGATAATTCTATGGTACTTTATTTTCTATTTTTCAATATTTACTAATTCAATCTTTAAGTAAATTTTTATAATTATATTTTTCTAAGAAACTCATCCAATGTGTTAAGATTTTCAAATGTATCAAAATGGCCTTCACGAAGTAAATTTTATGTAGTTTTTAATCTCCATATCAATATAGTCCCTTTATTATTCATGATTTTGCATATTTTATTTTCTATTTTTTATTGAAATTGCCAGACATGTGGCTATTATTGCTGATTTTATCCAAGGATTTTCTATACTCCTTCTGTTTTCAGTTAATTAATTTCTGCTGCCATTTTGCTATCTCTTTCCTTCTGTTTTTCTCTTTGTATTCAAAATGTGTAAATGATTTTAATGAAAATGTGATTTAATGCATTTTTATAAAAATAACATTACCCAGTTATTTAATTGAATTTGGTTTTATAAATGAATATAAATTGTTTTTAAAATATGTTAAATTCTAATATTTCCATTGAATATAAATTATAATTTCTAGTTCATTTAGTTTTTAATATAGTCACATAGGATTCAAAATGTTTCACAAACAGGTTTCAAAAGACTTACATAGGTGCTACCAGTAAATCTGAAGAAATCACTTCACAAAATCGCCAGAAATAGTCTTCTGATACCTATTCAGCTGCCATCTTGTTTTTAAAAAGG
This sequence comes from Homo sapiens, assembly GCF_000001405.40. Classification (NCBI taxonomy): domain Eukaryota; kingdom Metazoa; phylum Chordata; class Mammalia; order Primates; family Hominidae; genus Homo; species Homo sapiens. Next base: position 117,976,835 of record NC_000003.12, read on the forward strand.
ATTTTAAAGATCCTGTGAACTTTACTTGTGACTTAGTACTCCATACAATAAATATCAAAATAATATTCACATTTTATATATTAGAATATCATAACTAAATGAAATATCAGAAAATTAGAATATCTACAGCTAAAATCCCAAAAGTAATGGGACTTTAGTACTCACTTCGATTCCTTAATTTTTTAGATGAAGAAATTGTGGCTTAAATAACTAAAGAGGTTAACCATTCATTCATTCATCCAGTTGTATTCTGTGAGGCAAGTGTATCACACACCATGTTGAAATTGGGACAGGAAGAATGTGGGAACAATGATGAGCACATGACTGCTGAGTTCTAAGGGAGCTCAATGTGGTGAGTCTCATATAACCATATGCACTCATCATCCTGTTTTATTTTCTTCATTTAGCTGCAAATAATCTTATTTGCTTACTTGTCTATCCCACTACCTTTTATGGTGAGATGCACAGAGAAAATAAGGGCCTTGTTTATTACCCAATGTACAGAACAGCTCCTAGTGTATAACAAGAGCTCAATGAATGTTTGCTCAGTTAATCAACAAAGGGATTGATTGGGCCTGGAGGGTACATGGAAGTCAGTGGTACTACTGAGGTACGTCTTAGACAACAAATTTCTCACCAGAACAGGCAGCAAATATCAGGACTTCAAAACTAAGATGACAGAGCAGGCACTACCAGTGGAATGGCACCTCTTCATCATTTCTATAGTTTAAAGGGTGTAGGAAAGAGAGGGGAGAAAAGACACAAGAAAGAGAAGGGGCCTCAGATATCAAACCTGGGAGTGCTGACTTTATCCTCCTAACTTTTCAGAGATTTTTTTTTTTTAAGAGACAGCAGGGTAGACGGATGTGGGTTTTAGAAAGATCACTTTGGTAGCTGTTTTGGGAATAAATTGGGGGGAGATTATAAGGTCACATTGACGGTTACCAGTGGAGTTGCAGCTGAAATATTTTTTTCCACTGTACATCATCTCATCTCCTAGGAGCAAACTCCTTTTTGATTTAGATTGAAAAAGAGAGACAGACATTCGTTTGGTCAATTAAGGGCCTAATTTTGTAGGATTCCTGGAGGTTTATCTATCAGATAGTTTAGAAAGGTAAAAGGAAACCACTGTAACTAATAGGTGTCAGTGCTTAGATCCCAGATGTTTAGTGTCTTCAAAGATAAAAGGCTTGTTAACAGTAAGGATAGAGGCTGCAGATAACAGACAGATCAGCCCTGTTATCTCTGCATGGCACTTTTTTCTGAGTTGTTTTTTTTTTTAAATCTTACTTTGTTAAAATAGTTATATTTACTTTTCAAAAAAAGAAAGCATTTACTTTTGAAAAATAAAAACTGGCTATTAGCAATTGAAATAATTTTTGTGTGTAGGCCTTTGTTCATTTGGAAGGAGTTTTGGGTGTGGAGATCAAGAGATATCTTCCTAACACACAACAAAAATACATAACCCATTGAAGGGGAGATAGTGTCTTTATAAGCCTCTGCTTTAATTCGTTTTTAATTTACACCCATACTCATTTTAAAAGATTTACAAAGCTTTATATGACAATTAGTTTGGGTAACTAAAAAATAATCAATAGTCATTCCATTTTCTATTGCAGTTATAAATTTATTCTGAGAACATATCAACATCCATATAAAGCGAAAATATGACACAAAATGAACCTCTATCAATCCTATTTGAGCATCTTCCAAATTTTCTTTTTTTTCACGTTGCCAGTTAAAATTCACCCAAATGGAGTACCTGAACTTCACTGAAATCAGTGTTGAGTTGATTTTTTAAAAATAGCATTATAGAATTTATTCAAGAATTATTATCTAACATACTGGTGTTTTAAGAAAAAGAACACTGGATTTCTGTGTTACATATACTGGTAACTTGTGGGAGTCAGTCACTTTTAGTAAGTAAAGGATATGTGAAAGATGAATAAGAATAAGATAGCTTCAATATTTTTATCAATGGACATCATTAATTTCTCCAAATACTGATTTTTTTAATTTCACTATGTCAGATTTTAAACTCATAAATCAACTTAGATATTGCATTACTTAATAGTTATCTGCTACTATATTTATCTCCTTTACAAATAGATCATGAGCTTCTTGAGGACAGAAGTTTTGTCCAATGATTTGCCTAGCACTTAGTGCAATGTCTTGGACATAGTTGGTACTTAGTAAAGTTTATGGACAAATAATTTCAGGTACATCATATGTAAGCAATTTTATTCTATTACAGCATCTTGGCACCAGAAGAAACCATCAAAATTATCTAGTCTAACTCTACCATTTTACAGAAAAAGGAATTCCTGTTCAGAGAGGCAAGGTACCTATTTGATGAGCACAAAGCTCCCCAGGTCTCTCAAATCTTATTCCAATTTTTCTAGTTTAGAAAATCTGAGATTTCTGAGTATTATATCTTTGATAACAGGAAATGAGCTTCAAGGTGTGCTATGATACATATACATTCAATTCAATATTCAGGTGTCAGAAACCGGGTATCAGGAGTCCAAATTAAGACATATAGAGAGGCTGAACACTAACTCAGTGATACATGTTCTGCTTTTCAAAGTCTCCACTACCTTTCTGTAGGGGAACACCTTGGCTTCTATGTCACATAGAAAGTGTAGCCATATCGGAGAGTATAACATAATAAGAACTATTATTCTAGATTTCTGATACAAAAATATCTATAATTTGTAAGTAAAATTCTCTAATGAGAACATCAAAAGAGTTGCGTGGAAAACAGGTGTTACTTGTGGCAGAGACTGCTATTTACCAATGTGCTTCCGCTTCTTCCTGGAACACAGCTGGGCCCCATTTCCCAGTGTTCATGGCTTTGAGGTGTAACCATCTGATTTAGTTTAACCAGTTGAATGCAACCAGAAATGAGGTACAGCGCTACCAGGATTTAGCATAAAACTGACCTGTTTGCTCATTCTGATATACAGATTCCTAGGACAATCTTCTAAGTGACATGTTAAAGTTACCAGGGACATCAGTAGCCTCAGTCATGAGTGACTGTGAGGATCAAGGGCTGCCTGTTGACCTGAAACTCCCTTGAACTATGGATGAGACACACAATGCCATTGTTTTCAGCCTCTTGAATATTGCAGAGACATTTGTTCCAGGAATTAGTGTTACTTTTCTCTCAAATTTCTGTGATAGAGAAAAATACATCATTCCTATCGGCTAGAAAGCATTCAACATCTGGACTATGGAGTGACAAAATGAGTATACTCTACACACTGACTTTCTTCACATTTGCTCGTAGATATACAAGCATCTAGCATAGAGAGTATTCATTTAACGTCACCACCATAAGCTAATTAAGATTCCATTGTGCCTCATCCTGCAGGGCAATGGTTCTCTAATGTTGGTGTTTATCAGAATCACCTTGCAGGCTTATTAAGCCAGATTATTCACCCTTTTTTCCAGAGTTTCTGATTTTACTGGCCTTGGATACAGTCTGATAATTTGAATTTGTAACAGATTCCAGATGATGCCCTTGCAGCCAGTCCAGGGACTACCCTTTGAGATGCGCAGCTATAGGGCTTCTAGATTACTCCAAAAAATGTTACCTGATATTTTCACACACTGGCCATCTGTAACGAGTTAGCATCCTCTGGAAGTGGTACTATCTGTGTAGCAATACACCTGATGCAATTCTGAAAGGGAGACAATGGCAGGATCTAACTGCAGCTGCTTAGCTAATAAGGAGGTGTTTCTCACTGTCAAAATTGTCAAAAACAGCACTTGTGTTCTGATGGAGTGCAGCCTATTTGGAGTTGGAAAAATTAGCTGACAGGTAAGTCAAGTCTTCCTTATGGAATTAAAGGTAAGGTTAAAGCTCATCTGAAGATGAGAAGAGGAAATGAGATGTTGAAGAAAAAAAATATCCGTAGGGCACAGACCTGCAGAAATAAGACATCATTGTTAAAGATTTACCAGAGGAAAAAACAGAATCTCACCCTGGCACGAGGGGAAGCAGCCAGCCAGTTCACCACCAGAAATCCATCAGAAGTTGTTGCAAAAATAAATAAATAAATAAATCAACTCCAGCCCAAAGAGAAAGGCATCTCTCTGCTATAGCACAACTTTACCTTCCAGGTGTCACCAAGATCATTTACTTCAGATGGCAGCAACTTTCTGACTGCTCCAATTTGTTGATATTTTGTCTGCAAGACAGTGGTATCAGCCTGGAAGGGGTGCTTCCAGCCATGCAGCTTGGCCAGGCAGGGCATGTGCAGAGACAGACTGACAGCAAGATTCCTGTGCAGCAGCTATGTGATGAGGTGGAGTGGGACCTATGCAAGCCGGGAGGATGAAGTCAGTCTTCAAAGATCCACTGAAGCCAAACTTCAAATATAGTGGCAGAGCTGTGGATTACTGGGGGGAAAAAACCCTGACAGACAGGCAAGTCTTGTTTACAAGGCTCTAGGAAAGAAAAGCCTTCAAAGCAGAGGCTTGGAGAGACATAGAATCTAAGAAGCAGACTTGGATAAACATTGACAGTGCTGTAAACAACCAATCACATCTTTATTTGGAAAAGCAAGTAAAGGTTACACATCAGTCTCTTTAGCTGAATTAAAGGACAATAATTATTGTTTGCAACATCCTCAAGGTAAAGGATCACAAACTGAAAATTTTAAAGGAAAATACTACTAAAGGAATATTGTATTAAAATGATACATATATTTAATAATAATGAGAGTCTATATTTATATAGTGCTCTGAAGTGTTTCAAATAATGTTATCTCAACTAATCTTCAAAATGACCCTATGAGGTAGGCACATTAGCCCTATTTTACAAATGAGACGGTTCTGGCATTAATATCCAAAATTTCCAACTTCACTAATTTCTTCTCACTTCAGAAGTCTTTACATCCTAACCCAAACAATATATCAAATCTAATCTGCAGTAAACAGCGTCCAAGAAAATCACATTTTGCAATTGTCCTCTGCAGTATAGCAAATATATTAAATAGATGCTTTTTTCACAATGGCATTTGAAACCGCCTTCTTAATATGAATGGAAAATTTTAGACAAGTACTGGGATTCACCAAAGAAAAGAGCATCTGCTGGGCTGAATGCTGCCTGGAAGACTGACCTTACTTATTCAAAATATTATATATGCATATATATACACACATAATATTTTGAATAAGGTGTGTATATATACATAGTAAATATATATATATATTTACGCAAGAAAGCTATATGTATACATAGTATATATGTGTATATATGTGTGTATATATACTATATATGATATATACACTGTATACATATACATATACATATATTCACATATATACAGACATATGTGTCTATAGATACATATATATATACAGACACATATGTGTCTATAGATACATATATATATACAGACACATATGTGTCTATAGATACATATATTTACAGACACATATGTGTCTATAGATACATATATATATACAGACACACACGTGTGTGTATGTGTGTGTATGATTTTTCTCTCTCTCTCACAATGTCAAACAGTCCCTCTCCTATAGCAGCTGGTATTAAAAGGTGAACCCTTGTATTACAAACCTGCCTCTCTCCAGAGTTTTGCTCTGTAAATGTTGCCTGCCTTGTTTGTGGGGGCTATACAACTACACTGCACCAGCAGCAGCAGCACCATAGCCATCACTATCATCATTGTCATTATCATCATCATTCTTTCCCACCTATCTCTGCAAATACTTTTACATCTAATGGCGCTCATTTAAACCAGAACAAACACCAGAGAAGGTGGGTTAGTTAACTCAGTACACAAAGGCTATTTAGAGCCATGAATGAAAATCCAGAAATACTGAAGATCTCTTAGAACCTTCATTAACAGATAATGGTTATATATACGGGGATACTTGGAAAGATGGATAGGCAATCCTTATTTATCTTTACAAAATTATGTTCATATAAATACTGCTCTTTATATAGAAGCAGTGTAGCATAGTGGTTAAGTCTGTTGATTCTGAAGCCAGACTACCTAGGTTGAAAACCCAGCTCTGCCACTTTAGCTGTGTTACATTAGACAGCTTAAACTGCCAGTACTTCATTTTCTTCACCTGTAACATACTAACAATAATAGTATAAGAACAGGTGAATCAGTTTGACCCACTGTGTAAGTATTTGTATTAGTATTATTTTTAAATTGCTATAGCCACGGCTTGCAGAATCTTTCAGTGGAGCTTAGCCTCCATGACTTTTGGATACCATTAAGCCTCTGTTCACAATCTGTTACTCCATCCCCACCAACTATTTTCCAAGTAGACTAGTGTTGTGCTATTAGAATTCTGTGCTGGTTTTGAGAGGCCAATATGATGAGACCATTCCTAAACCTTTTTTCACATGGGGATGAAGAGTGAATTTCTAAATATTTCTAAATAGAAATCAAAGGTGATAGAAAAATGGTACTATCTGCTTTCATCTATGAAAAGACAAATTCTGGGGTCTCAGTTTGTGTCAGAAATCATTTTTAAGATATCTCACTATATTACCATATACTATAAAATGGGCTGGTACTCTGTTATGGGACTTTTGGAGGAGTCTATTTACATGAGTAACTGAAAAGCTATATAGGAATAAGTCTACCTCTAAAAAAAAGATTCCAGTTGAAAAAGCTGATTATAAAAAAAAAATGAAGATTTCAGGGGCATCGTTGTTGGGGGAAACAGCTGCAATTTTGATGATGAATGAAATGCTCCCTGACCCAACTCCATAAAATCATATTTGAATCTCTTGGGTGCTTGAAAGTTGTTGGCAGTTAGGGGAGGGGGCACATTAATAAGAAATGAGTTTTCAAAAACTCAACAGAGGATACTGAAAGGTTAAGAGAGCATTTGGTATAATCACAAAACATAGCTCAAATTGCAGTAGAAAGTACTTAGCCTATTTCAACAAGGTGATCAATTATTGGAACATGTATGATTTCAACACGACTCAGAAGGAGCAATTGAAGAGCTCTAAACAGGGGAGACTTGGAAACCATTGACAGGAACAAGGCATAGGACAACATATGATAGTTAAGATGACTACAGGAGGGAGCACACACAGAATATGTTCCATAACTTATTCCTTCTGCTATGTTCAGAAACAAATCACTAAACTCTTTTTTTTATTGAGAAAAACTAAGCCACAGAATTTTTAAGAATAATGATCTCCTTGAGTCATAATAATGAATTTGGAATATTATATAATGTGAAATTTCTTAGTCCTATCTGCTCTGGGGATCTCCTATTTTACAAAGGAGGGATTTGAAAGAGATTAGACAGATCCTAAATTTGGGGATAGAACCCAAGAAAATATTATTTATTATTATTATGGCTAACTTTTGAAAAAGCCATAAAGGTATAATGTACTCCATTAAAGCATTCACATTCTCACCTGCTCACTCCTTTTTTGGACAGCTATATACATTGCAGGGTGTTTAACTCAAATGAGCACAGGAGTAACTGGTAATGGGACTAGATATTTCTGTAGATAATTGTGTTACCCTCATGTGATTTTGATGCCATTGTTTAGTGATAGGCTTTAGTGTACCTTAGCAAGTGATGAGATCTTTGAAGTTAGCATACTTGGGGTTATGAATTAAAATTTACATTGCTTTCAATGTATACAAGCATTATATAAAGAATATTGCCAAGCCTTGTATATATTTGAAAAACACTAAAAAAATGGAGCACTTGAAATGACTTCTTATAATCTCCTCCAATCCCTTCATTGCATATGATGAAATTAAATCCAGGAGATGTTAAGTGACTTTCCTAAATAACCTGTGTGACAGAGCCCACTTTGAATCTGGCTATTCAGTTTTTCCCTGAACATGATACTGACTTACGTGTTGGTGAAAGAATATTAAGGGTCACTCTGTCTCGATGTAGAAAACCAATTTCTATGAGCCTAGTTAGGGGTCAGTAGCAATTGCTTAAAACTGGAGACAATAGTATCTACACATTTAGAGTGGGGGCAATGGGAATGAAGAAATTCAGACATATTCAAAAAATGCTCATAATTGCTTGGGGAAGAGGAAGTAATGGACAGAAGGAGACAGAGCATTTGAAATAAGAAGATAAAGTATACTAGTGTTAAAAGTATGGATACATTAATTTCATGGGATGCTTGTGGCTGAAATTCTATACCCAAATTAACATGTTGGAACTGAGAGAGACAATAATTTCCTTTATTATGATATGAAACTAGTTTTCCTTAAAACTGACACCAAAAGCAGATATTAACAATGAGGCTTCTTTATTATTTAATGAAAACTAGAAGTAAAAAACAAACACTAGAATTTTTTTTTTAATGACTGATAAAAAGGTGTTTATAACTGCTCCCTATGATAGACATTTGCAGCATGAATTAGAAAGTGGGGCCTGGGGAGACAGGAGTCTGACAAAAGTAGCTGCAGAAATTAGCTGTGTGTAACAAAATTCAACCCCACATCCTGGTGGTAGAGGGAAATCCAAAGAAATCAATCAAAAATGTTATTTAATTTTAGAAAAGGGGACAGTGATAAAATGACATCATTAGTAAAGAAAAACTACAAATAAATATATATAATGCACAAGATATCTTAAAGGTCTTAAAAACTTCTTCAAGCCTTGAGTAAATGTGGGTCTTGGAAAAAAAATAAAGGCAAAGCTTGTAAAATGTCATTTATTAGCAATAGGTAAACTACGAGAGGTATTCAAAGGCAAAGGGAAAACATAAAAAATACAGAATATACATATTAAAAAAAAATAAGGAGGGCCACAAAATACTTCAAATATAGCTTGAGTCCCAAAATAAATGTGGAAGTGGTATACATGACAGTTTAAAGAGCCTAATAAAAGTTGTTTTTTTAAAAAAATAATTTTAGGTTCGGGGTACATGTGCAGGTTTGTTCTACAGGTAAATTCATGCCATAGGGGTTTGTTGTAAAATTTATTTTGTCACCTATGTCCTAAGCCTAGTATCCAATAGTTATTATTTTCCTTAAGGGCAGCAAAGGGAGGGAGGGGATCAGGTGAGAATCCCCCAAACTACCTGGCCACAAAGGTGAGAATGCATACTCAGGGTACAAAGGTAAAACTTAGGAAACTATATTTTTTGCCTCAGTCTTTTTCAAGGTCATTATCAGTTTCATATTTTAAAGGGAAAGTAAGATCGAAGGACGCTATGTACATATGATCTTTGAAAACAAATTGACAAACCAAATGTAGATGAGTCATCCTTGCTGAATAACATCCATCTACAAATTCTAAAAGTAACACAAAGGTGGGACCTTGAGACTGTAGATCAATGTAGATGTGTTTTTAAACTGCCACATTCTAGACAATTTGAGATTTGTCAGAAAGATTTTCCCACAACCAGTCATCGAAGAGAAGCCAAGTGAAACTTTCTCTTATAATGAAGTCAAATCCCGGTGAAAAGCATTAAACATATGATGCTCAGTCCCAGTCAGAGGCAGCACAGTAAAGAAGGAACACTGGGCTGGGAAGGAAAAGATCGGATCTTGCTATTCCACCATCTAGCATTGTATCTCACTTAAATTATTGAAATTTCTAAAGTCTCAGTTTCCTCGTTATTAAAGGGGTATAATAATCCCTAACCAAAACAAAATAAATAAAAATAGGAATTTAAGGAAATAACAATTGTGACTGTCAAATAGTAATACCTAATATTTTTAGAGCTGTCTCTACGTTGCCAGGCATTGTACTAGATGTTTTACATGCAATTATCATATTGCAGGTGTTCAATACTTTTAGCTTACGTTCTTCCCCACAGAATATTCTTGGGGTCCAAATAAGTTAGTGTATCTGAAAATACTTCATAAACTATAAATTGCTGTGAGCATATAGGTAGTTATGAAAAGATCATGGGATCTATTAACAAGGATGTATCACTGAACTGGCAACCAAACGTAAGCTATTGGAGAAAAACCAACATGGGTTCTGTAAGATGAAATAACACTGGATTAATTTGGTAGCCAATATCCTAAGGTTGTTTAAAACCACATGATCGTGAAGCAAGAACAAATTAATTGTGTATGCCATCATGTAATATCTTCCTATTTTAAAAATAAAAGCACTCACCAAAAGTGATATTCAAAAATAGGGCATTGATGAATAAATTATGATATGAGAAACTAGGCAACCATAAACAGAAATATGGTAGGTGAATATTTAATAATAGAGAAAAAGTTGCATAATATGCTATTGAAAGAAAAAAGTAAACCATAAGGTATATGTAAATCATAATCCTAATTTTGTAACTTATGAATATATATTTTGCAGGGGAGAATCTGGAATGGTATACAACAAAAAAAGTAATAGGAGCTTTTGCGATATTGAGAAACTGATTAATTTTTCATTTTCTTCCTTGTGCTTTTCTGTGTTTTCTCATTTTGCTATAATGAACACATTAATTTGTAGTGAGAAATATTTAAAAATACAAACGATTTTTTAAACCATACCACGGAAAACCCTAGCTTCTTCACTCATTCTAAGAATATAAAAAAAGCAAGCTTTGCTTCAGAATGCAATGGGAAGTACTTCAACGTTCCTTCAGTGTTGCCAAGGTTTATTTAACAATATTTTCTCACCATATATTATACAAGAACAGAACTAAACAGATGGTCTACATCGAAAACTCAGCAATCTAGGAAAAGCTATCCTCACTCTACCTATTCATCATATACTACATTGTATATATAACATATATACACACACATACATAACTCCTTATCATCTTCTTAATAACATACATGCCTAAATCTTTCATAGATCCCACATGTCAAAGTTATCCTGCAAGCCACACCCACATCTGTGTGTGTGTTTGTTTTCAAAATATGACAGGAATACTCACACTCATTGCATGACCCTATTGACTTTAAAATTACAGTCTCACATATTTACATATTTGTAGACTTTATACAAAAAAAATCTATATAACTTGGAACTTCCAAGGAACAAAGGCAAAGCTTGAATTTGACTCTGTATTATGTATGCAAATGGTATGTTGGCATTGAATTAGTCTTCCAGAAGCAACATTTCCTTTATGTCACTTCCTTCCTGGACCAATCAATGGCCCTTTCTTTCTTTCAGGATGAAGTACAAATGGCTAAGCCTGGCATCCAAGGTTCACCCTGTGTCTCCAGGCTTCCTTGGCAATACTTTCCAATATAAACCTTTAACTCCACTCAGGCCAGAGTCTATACTATAACTCATATACAGAATGAACATTCTTTTCTCTGTTCCTTTGTTTGTGTTATTTTCCCCAACGGAAATAGACTTCATCTTTTTCTTCCCCCTATAAATTCTCGTATCCTTCAATATCAGGCTTAAGTCCATGTCCATACTACATTCCCATCCTCTGATTTCTCTCAATTCATTTTCTGAAAATTCTGCTTTATACTTTATCACACTTCATCTACAGATCTTAGGAAACTATTTCTTAAGAATACTAGACACTAAAAAAATTCATATTGAATTAAGCTTAAATGTCCAGTGGTATAAATTTTTATAGAAATAAGGTTTAATATGTACCAAGAAAGAGCTGATTATATGATTTTAGTGACTTAATTATAAATAAATGGTGCTGCTACCAAGTTTTTTTTAAGTTTGGCTCTTTTAAATCTGGCTATAAAATTAGGTCAGCAAGATCTTCTCCTTGAAAAGATTTTGTTGGGAATTAGTCTTTTTGTATGTATTTGAATGTAATAAAATGGTACTTCTTTAAAAATAGTATTTAATTGAGCCATTTTGCTAATTAAGACTAGACTTCTCCCCAATCGGAATAAAATCATAGACTCGTTCTAATTTTTTGAGCTCAAAGACACCTTAGAGATTATTTCCAGAATCAGAGAGTAACTTGCCCAAGGCCACATAGGTGGTTAGTCAAACATGACTTTTCTTTTAATTCTGTAAGTCGTTCTCTTTTATACTATTGCTTAGGGTTGGCAGCATGATATAAGGAAAAGAAACTGCATTTGGAGACAGAGGCCCAGGGTTCAAAACCAAGCCCGGTTTTTACTTGCATTAAGCCTCTTTCCTCAGCTAAAGAGTGGAAATTATAGAATATGACCTCACAGAGTTGTTGATAATAGGTAGGTAATAGGTGATAGGCAAATCTATGCACAGCCACTTTAAACTGTAAAGTTTGTATCCCGTGCCTAACCTGCAATGGTTGTTTACACACCTACATACAAGAGATCCTCTGTGAACTAAGCCCTGTTGATTCCATCCCTGAATCTCTCTTCTGTGTATTCACCTCATCTCCAATGTCACAATCTTAGTCTACACCACCATTTTCTTTCTTGTTACATAGTGAAAGCCTCTAAATCAGCTTCTTCCCAGTTACTCATCCTTTTCTCACACGGCAGCCAGAGTCCTCTTCTAAAAGCTCCTACTTCAAGTGGCACCTTCCTGCTTTAAAACTCATCAGTGCTTTCCCTCAATTTCCCCTTTGGACTAAATCCCATATTCTTGCAATGTCCCTAAAGGCCCTGCAGTGTTGGGCTTACTTAATTCCTCCAGACTTACCTTCTGTCACTTTCCTCTTTGGTCCTTGCACTCCTTCTATTCCTTCAGTTCCTGGGTTATGTTGGTCTCTTTCATACCTTAAAGCCTTGGCAAGACTTCTCATTGCTGTTAAAGCTCTCTCCACCTGCGTCTGCACATAGCTAACTCCTACTCATAATTTAAACTCCAATTACATGTTAATTCCTTAAGCAAAGACTTTCTTAACTCCCCAGACTAAACTGAGTCTCCCTAAAATATAATTTCATAGTACCCTAAACTCTCCTTCTTTAGGTATTATCACAGTGGCAATTAATTTATTATCTTTTATGTGTCTGTCTCCCTTGCTATAAGGTTTATGAATGTGTTTGCTTAAGGCTTAACAAATATTTATGGAAGGAAGAAGGAAAAAAAAAATAAACAGAAGTCTATTAGTTGTTTTTCTTGCATATCCCCCACTTTCCTATATTCTGTGCCTTGTATATACCCCAGCTAGCTGAAATAACTACCCATTCATCACACTACACACATCATACCAACAAAAATAACTTTAAACCCACAGAATGCCCACTGTTCGTTCACCTTCCTCCTCATCACAAACCACATTATTGCCTAACGGGAAAGATAGGAAATTAAAATTTCAGTAACAAAACCATAGTTGTTACTAGGAGCAGTTTCAAGCCTGCATCTGTTATGCCAGCACAGGTTTGTATCAGGTCAGTAGAATTGTCTTATCTCTGTTACTTGAGGCAGAAATCACCAGGCAGTTTCTTTCCATTCCCATGTAGACAGAGGATCCCCAGTGGAAAGCTGGCCTGGTTGTGTGGGCTGTCTGGACTCAACTGACCCAGCCAGAATGCCCTTGATAATTTGTCAGAGGCAGCTAATCTGGGTTTTTTCCTAGCTGTTTGCTGTTCTCTCCTTAGGAGATAGAATCACAAATATCTCCTCTTGGGAGTAGGATATACCTTCTAGGGCTGCCAGGTTGGAGGAAGGAGATATCACAGGAGGTGGAAAAATAAACTTCCCTTCCCACCCACTCTTGGGAGTACACAAGTGCCTTCTGAAATAGAGAAAAGAGGGCAGGTCCCTGAATCAGGGAAGACATCCATATAAATTCTTGTTTCCTCATCAAACACTTGGCATTCATTCAATTTAAAAACTAAATTGTATTGTTGGCTTAAATGTGACCAATTCTACACTTGAAATAAGGCCCTATAAATGGTTCAAGAGAAGTCCTTGATATAATTGATAGTCAATGGAAGGCAAATACTCATTATACATGTCAATAATGCCAGCATATTTCCTTGCATAACTTTCTATTTGTTTCTGACTTTTTTCACACTAAAATAAGAAAGAAGAAACACAGAAGACAAGGTATGAAGGTTATTTGAGCAGCAGAGTTCTGGTCTGCTGACACCCTTAGCGAGATTCATTAATCTTGGAGATTCTCACTCTCATTTACTAAACAACAGTGATTCACACAGAGTTACACAGCCACAGTGGCAAAGTTAATTGGAATCTAGTTCCCCTAACATTTCTTCCTTCCTTCAGCTATTCCTCAATAATGCAAGCTAAAATATTAAGTGAGGCTTAATACTCTTATGAAAAAAGGAAAACAAATAAAGGGTGTTAGCACAGAATTAAAGGTAGACATGTTTCACTTTGTTTTGTTTTGTTTTGTGTTTGGCTTTATCCCTTTGAGCAAAACAAGAAGGCAGAGGTAGTTTATGTAACCCTGTATCAATACTGGTATCTCCCTTCAGCATGAAATTAGCACTGGGAGCTCAATATGCCTCTTACCCAAGTCCAGAGAAAGAAAGAAAGGATGGAGGAAGGGAGAAAGAGACAGCTATGAACACTGGTAAATTCTGTTCAGTTAGTGGCAAGCAGCCAGATAATCCCTTTTAATTTAACTCTTTATTTTATCTGGCAGAAGCAAATATTTCATTTTCTTAAAGCTTTATAAATTTTAAAGTATGCATAATCACATGTGACAGGCACTACTATCCCAATCCAGTAAATGAGGAAACTGAGACTCCCGTGAGAGTATTATCTATGTTTTATCAGGAATTATTAGTGAATTTAAGACCAGTATCTAAGTTGTCTAATGTGTACCTCAGTGTTCCTTCCACATGAGGATCTTACCTACTAAGTGTCCAGACGAGCACTGCTTATGTTGGCAGCATAGACGCTTTTAAGTAAAGAAGATAGAGAATACAAGAAAATCATGAGTGGTGGAGAGGTAATGGTACACAATGAAGATTCACTTAAGAAAAATGTTTCTGTATTCCTCATTTCAAATATGCCAAGCAGGGTAGAGAGGTATACAGTGACAAAAATGTACTATGTAAGCAACTATGATTTAAAAAGATCTTCATGTTAGAAATATTGTTATGTGCTAGAAGATGCTGTGGCTTCAGTATCTGACCCGAATTGTGTAAAAGGAGTCATAGACTTCTGATGTTGAGGGTTATCAAATGAAATAAGAAAAGAAATCCAAACACTTCTCATCAATTTATTTACTTCCAGGCTGTACTGTGCTTTTCTAGATTAATAAACCATACTAAATAACTTCCACAAAAATATATCATATATTGTTTTCTGCAGTCATGGTAATTTGAGCTGGGGGTTTTTGTTATAAGTAATAATCATCACTGAAGGCTTGTTACAAGGTCTGTTCCACTACCCATAAAATCTAGAAGACTACACTCGATAAAGGGTAAAGTCTATATTTTTCAGAATGTTAATGTTACTATTATTATTGTTATTATTTTGAGAAAGGATCTCACTCTTGTCTTGCAGGCTAGAGTGCAATGATGCAGTAACAGTTCATTGCAGCCTCAATTTCCTAGGCTCATGTAATCCCCCCAACCTCAGCCTCCCAAATAGCTAAGACTACAGGTGCACACCACCATGCCAGGCTAATTTTTTTCTGTTTTGTAGAAACAGGGTCTTTCCATGTTGCCAACGCTCATCTTGAACTCCTGGGCTCAAGTAATCCTTCTGCATTTGTTTCCCAAAGTGCTGGGATTACAGGCATGAGCCACCATGTCTGGCCTAGTATTATTTTTAAGTAAGTAGGGTCAAACACTTATTTGGAATGCAATTTTTTTTTTTTTTTTGAGATGGAGTTTCACTCTTGTTGCCCAGGCTGGAGTGTAGTGGCATGATCTCAGCTTACTGCAAGCTCCACCTTCTGGTTTCAAGCGGTTCTCCTGCCTGAGCTTCCTGAGTAACTGGGATTACAGGTGCCTGCCACCACACCCAGCTAATTTATGTGTTTTTAGTAGAGATGGAGTTTCACCATATTGACCAGGCTGGTCTTGAACTCCGGACCTCGTGATCTGCCAGTCTCAGCCTCCCTCCCAAAGTGCTGGGATTACAGGCATGAGCCACCACACCTTTTTTTTTTTTTTTTTTTTTAAAGGAGCTAAGTTTCTCCTGTATCTTAAACAGAGAGGCTTCATAGTGTAGTCAATGCTCATCATTGACTCAGTTCTAGGTTACCAATGTTGCTGGAAACAAAGGAGATAACATCAAAAATCCTACCTAGCAGAAAACTATACCTTATGGATGGTGCTTTAAATCTTTTAAAATTACTTGGGTAAGTCAAATTAGAAATAGGTCAGGCACGGTGGCTTACACCTGTAATAACAGTGCTTTGAGAGGCCAAGGCCAGAGCGTCACTGAGGTCATGAATTCAAGATCAGCCTGGGCAACATAGTAAGATCCCATTTCTACAAAAAAGAAAAATAAAAAACAACATTAGCTGGGAATGGTGGTGTGTGCCTGTAGTCTAAGCTACTTGGGAAGCTGAGGTGGCAGGATCCTTTGAGCTAGGGAGCTTGAGGTTACAGTGAGCTATTATCATGCCACTGAACTCCAGCCTGGGTGACAGAGACAGTGCCTCTTGAAAAAATCTTTTAATTAGTTGCTATTGTACTTAATATTAAAACAATATACATCTTGGACTCTAAAATATATTTCCTGAAGGGTATCATTTTTATTCTTTGGCAGAGGCACTTGTCAAAAACCTCTAAAGAGATTTCACCAACTCGTTTTCATTGGAACTATTGGGAGGAGGCTGGGGAGTGCCGCTGTGAGCAGTTTAGACAGAGCTCTTAATGGAAGCCTCATAGTAGTTGGACAGAACATTCCCATCCTAGGCATTTCTGCTGCTCCCTCACTAATCAGCAGCAGCACTCCCTGCTCTTCTGGTGTTGGGGTTGGGGGTTTGTCGGCTAAGCTGCCTCTGCTGCAGTGTCACTACATTCTTCTCTTCTCCTGGAAGCAGCCCAAATATGGCTGCAGGCAGAAGCCAAGGAAACCTTCATGCCCAGGTGAACCAGAGATGGGGGTGGGATGGGCCAAGTGGAATCCATCTCTTCTGCAGTACCAAAAGGGCACAGGGCTACTGCCATCCCATATGCCAAAGGGAGAAAATAGAGCCAACCTCAGAGCAAAGCAGTGGCTGCTCTCTGGCTCTGGATCTGGAGCATGAGAAAGAAGAGACAGATGCCAGATGACAAACAGACCTGGCCAGATCTAAGCCAATGAAGCAGGACCTCAAACTAAGCTGGGAACAAATGGAAAGTCCTGAGAAAAGTGGTTTTTTTTGTTTGTTTGTGTGTGTGTATGGGTTTGCTTTCTTTGCTTAATCAAAGTTACAGGTAAATTGATGATATTAGTACACTCATGAATATCTAAAAAACTTTCTTCTGGAAACCTCAGAGACCCTTTATCAATGGAGATGTCATTAATATAAACTACAGTTGCCAGGATATCAAGGATGAAACCTGGCTGGGCCATTATATAACCTTCTCGTCATTGCACAAAAGGTTAGAAGTTCTCCCTACCAACATCACAAGGACATTGCATAGATGAATATACTCAACTATATCAAAGTACTCTAGGATATTTGGAAAAAGAACAACAGAGAAAAAACTATAGTTTTTATTCACATGTGAACACATCTTGACTAAGCTATCTTTTATGATCTATTTCAAAATAATGATAATGATTATTATATCATTCATGAAAAACAGAACATAATTATTACTGAACCTCAAGAATATATGCCCGACTTGCCCATGGTCACAAAATAATGACTTAGACTAAATAGTCTTTTTCTCATGGGGCAAGCCCAAATCATTCTGTAAATATCCCTCCACCTCAGAACCACATAGCCTCAAGTACTTACATTAAACATTCTTGAACAAATGTATTCTAATTAACAATGAACACCAAGAACAGCATTAATCTGTGAATCCATGAACATAATGGTAAGAAACAGCAGAAGCAACTGTGCTGAAGAATGGAGATAGTAAACAAGGGATGGGGCCAATTCAAAAGGGCCACATACTTTGACACTGAGGAGTGTGTACGTGTGTGTCCACATGTACATATGTGTAAGAGAGAGGAGAGCATGTTGTCAGGAAACAGTTCAAGCCCTGCCATGATGATGGCAGGAGATAATGTGTATGGCAGTTGTTTGCGAGTGATCTCCATGTTTCTTAGCCTCATCCAGCTGCACTGCCTTCTTCTCCTATCCCATTACTCAACGTTACTGCTGCCTAGTGTGTGCCACACACTGGGGGATCCCAAAGCTTGAGAACTGAGGCCACTTCCCACAATGTGCTAAACTCTATTTAGCAAAATCTTGAAAACTCCTCTTTAGAAAGAACAATATTCCCGGGGAGGAAAAGCTATTTGCTTTGCCCAAATGAGACCAGAAAATTCAGAGAATTGTTACTATAGTTTACTATGTTATCACTGAAAAAGACTGGGGGGCTTTTTTTTTTAATAGAAGATCTCCTGAAATATAATTATCTGGTTTCGTGTTCCATTACACCTTCCTCATCCTTTAGAAGTACCTTTCACTCATAAGACCCCATGGCTGAGTAATGAATATCCCATAGTTTTACTCAAACTTAAGAGGAGCATGTATTCATGACATCATTCTTAGCATTTTATCAGAAGAGCTAAATTCCTAGAGTTAAATGGAATAGGAAGGAAAGGGATTAACCTCTGCTGCTGGCATAGTACAGTCACGATGCTAATGTCTCAATATGAAAAAGCTGAATTGCAGCAATATCTGAAATCACAGAGAAAGTCCTGTGAGCTTTGAAGGAAAAAATGTAAAGAAATAAAATGTAAAAAGCCAAAGCAAGATTGGGACTCTATTTTTCATTTAGACATGCTTAGTAGAAGAATCATGTATTGCAAGAGCTCACAAATTAGATAGGAGAGGAATGGGTCAGTGAGTTCTGAGATGAGAAAGTTTTTAGAACCTGTAACTTGTAATTGTATTATGGGTGAGTTCCAGCTGTTCCCCTAAGCATATTTTAAACTATAACTTCGACATAGTATTCATTCCCTTGCAATGCTTCAACAGTAAACAGCCAGGGAGTCTATTCTCTTTTCATTTAGCAAGAGGGCTTTATAGCTACACAAAATATCCCCCAGCAATGAAAAATGAAACCCACCAATGTAACATTAGCAACCAGCTGTCAGAAAAAAATCAGGAGTAGGATTGCCAGTCTGGTCATTTCATGCCAAGTGTTCTTGAGAGGCAGTGTGTGTGCGTATGTGTCTTTGTGTGTGCATGTGTACACTGTGTGTAAATGGAGTGTGTTCTGTAGCATGAGAGATGTGCGTGGGTAAATGTCCTAATGATGGCAGAATGCCCAAACATGAAGATGTAGTAGAACCGTCAGTGGTAGAGCAATATAGCACAGACTCTCTATGGCTAATTGTGCAAGGTTCCTCTCACGAGCAGGAAGAGTGAGACAGGAAGATTAAAAAGATAATATATTTTTATGTTGGAATTACTTCGTGTATTATAGGTATGTTTAACATCAGTGAGGGCTCTGGATGCCAGCTTGTAAGTGAAATGCAAACACCATGTATGTATTTTCATTTTTAACCTTCATGAATTTATTTTACAACCTCCCCAAAACATAGAAACCTACAATCCCTTCAAAGTAAACACCCAGCGCTAGCAATTTTGTCCTGCAAGCATGAAATACATTGACCATTATGAGCCAGCGCAGCGATTACCCGTGAATTCTCGTATTCATTCTCTCTCTCTCTCTCTCTCTCTCCCCCACCCCACTCTCTTCCTCCCTCCCTCTTCTCCTCCTCCCCCCCTCCCCGTGTCCCCCTCCCCCCACCCCACTCACCGTTCCCTTCCCTCCCGCATCCCTCCTCCATCTCGGGGCAGAAGAATCTGGTGGGGCTATTTTGCAGAGAGATACAAGTACCAGGTGCCAAGCGGATACCTAGCCTCCTAAACTTAATGCCAATTCCCTCCTGAAAGAGGAGGAATGCAGTGATATCAGCACCGGGGACACGGGGATAGCGAACACCACCGCGGCTCTTGGAGTTTACAGAGGAGCAACCCCAGCTCCGTCGCCACCACCTCGCGCAAAAGCCCCCACCCCACCAAGACACACACACACACACACACACACACACACACACACACACAAAACACGCCGCTCTATCCTGCCCCCCGTTCACACGCGCGCGCGCACACACACACACACACACACACACACACACACACACACACAAGCCCTGGCTTCTTTCCCCATCAACACCGATGTTGCAGCAAGTCTGTCCGCACAATCCCGCACGCCTCAGGACCCAGCCTGGGCGCAGAGCTGGCAGGGCAGGGAGCGCACCGCAGGACTTGTAAATAAACCCTGTTCCATCCAGAACCGGAGCGCTTCTTACTCCACCGACCACCCCGGAGCCCGGCGGCAGGGAGGAGGGGGCGCAAGGGGTCAGGGAATCCTCCCCCTACCTTGCAATGAGAAGAGGGACAGGAAAAAGCCCAGCACCCAGACGCTGTGCAGCCAGTAGGTCCTCATGTCTCCGCTGCGCTCGATGCTCCCTCGCGCGCTCCTGCTCTCGCCTCTTCCGCTCGCGCTCTCTCTAGTAAAACGCGCCGCTCCTTTCCCTCGGTTTCCCTCTGGGTTCTCCTGGTTCCGGCAACCCGGACAGACAAGCCTCTTGCCGCACGACGGCCGGATCCCAGAACAGCCTTGCTCTCCTCTTCGGGAGCGCAAGCCAGGGGCCGGGATGGACGCTCGTAGCCCGTGCCTGGTGTAAACACACCGAGCCCCCTTGTCCCTCGAGCTCTCCCGCTTTCCTGCTTCCTATCCTCCTCTCCCTCACTCCCCTGCAGCTTCAACTAAATGCGATGTACTTAAACAAGCAGCGCCTTATAGGACCGCGAACCGAGCCGAAAGGGCCCCGCTACTGCCATCTAGTGCTCACAGAACGGCATCGCCGCGGCTCTTCTTCGCTGTGTGTCTGTGCCAAGTCTATCCAACGCCGCCAAAGTCCCCTCTGCTCTCAGCAAACACAGGTGAAGCTCTTGCCTTCTTAAATCCTTGACTTGACCTTGCTGTCCCATAAGTCCTGAATTTCTCCTTTTCACGAGGAAGCTCTTGGAACATGCTAGCCGCACATCTTCATCACCTCATTGCTCCTCTCCCTCTCAGAAATCTCCAGTGCTTTCCTAACAACTCTATGGAAATTTTTCTCCAAATGTCACCATGACCTCCACCAAAAAGTCCAATGGCCTTTTGAAGCCTCATCCTACTTGATTTTGATGCTGCGCTTCACAGCGTGTGCCATTCCTTTTTATTTGATTTCAAAGTCACTGGGTCAAAACAATTCTGGCACTTCTGACCTTCCCTCCAAGAGCCCTCTGGGTTCCTCTGCACTTCTTGGTTTATATCTTCTGTTATAATTTCTTTAAGTTACTTGGAAATAAAAGGTCTATTACAGCTACACGAGGATGGAAACCTCCACCACTAACCTCGTGCTTAGCCCTCAGCTTAGACTTCCCAGCTGGGTACCAAGCATCTCAAACTGGATGACTCAGGGCCAGGGCTGAGTTGGGTGAGTAGGCAGATGGGGCCGCTCTGAAGAGCACTGACTAGTAGTTAGGAAAGCTGGATTTCAGTTCTGTTACTGTGGCCTCCACTCGTTGGGGACCTTAACTAAGTCATTCAATCTCTGAATTTCATTTTATTCATCCATGTATTTACATGATAATGAATATTGGTCCCTTCCAACTGTTTGTAATATCTATGCTAGGTTTCTCCACCTTGGCACTACTGACATACTGTACCAGATAATTCTTTACTGTGTGGGGCTGTCTTGTGCACTATAGGATTTATAGCAACATCCCTAGCTTCTGTCCACCAGCTGACAGTAGCACAACCCTCATCCTCCTAGTTATGACAACCAAAAACATCTCCAGGCATTGCCAAATGCCCCCTGGAGGGAAAAACTGACCCAGTTGAGAACTTCTTATCTATACCCACGTGATTTTCTTCAGGAATTATTCCCCTTTTCCAACTTCCCTGTTTCACAGGCTTCAAGAACTTTTAGAAGTATATTTAATTCTCTCTTCTCCAATTTCAGTTGATCATCAGTCTCACCACGACAATGTGTAAATGTGTCTAAGATGTCTCTATGTTTTTTTTTCAGTTTTACTGCCACCTTTTTCATAATAAACACGTGTTGTGCATTATACTTTCTGAAATACTTTTAATTATCTCTAATGCTGTGATATGTTCAAGGGCTATGTTAGCTCTTCGAGCATTAGTGGGAAATGCAGACAAAGACAAGTTAAGTGACTTTTCTTATGACATACGATAGGCCAGTGAAAGCAACATTAGCAGACCTGAAGGAGGTCTCCTGACTCTAGCAGCATTCCTGATCCATCTCTCTAGTATGGGTCTTTATTGCCACACCCCTAGATTTCTACAATAGCCTTCTACCTGATCCCTTTCCTCCATTCACTGCTCTAATCTAGTTTATACGTTACCACCAGGTTAATCTTGTTAACAGTTTCTTCAAGACTCTCACCTGCTTATGAGTTATAGCTGCTCCTTATGGTCTTCTAGAACCATACTAGAATCACCTGAGGACTTTTGCTGACGCATCATCCCACCCCAAACCAATTAGATCACAATTTTTGGGTTGCAGCCCTAGCATCCGGAGTATTTTAAAGATCTCAGGCCATCCTAATCTGCAACCAGGGCTGAAAAACACTAACCTACCAGACAGAATTCAGATTCTTCATTTTTAAAATGTAAGGTCTTCTGAAATTTCTTATCTTACCTTTAACAATTTATTTTTTTTTCAATCCCCAATGGAGACACTTTCTTCTAGATTGCTCAGTCTTCTTTTTTCCCCATGCACTTCCTTTATCTGCTGCTTGTTTGTCTTGCCAAGTCTGTTCCATTCTCAGGAGGCAATTTGCAAGTGGCCAGAGCATAGACTTTGAATCTAGAACTAGATGGATTCAAGTCCTACCATGCCTTTAACAAATGGAGAGACCTTGCAAAAGTCTCAAAGGACTTTTGTGAGTATAACTCATGAAGTACTTAATAAATAATGTCTAGTGGTATTGTTTTTCAAGGATCAACCTTGATTTCTTCAATGTTAATGCATGTCTTAGTAAGGTTTCTCAAAATACAATCAATTTAAGAACCCAGATGCAATAGAATCACAGTGTACATGTTAAAATTCCAGATTACTTAGTCATACACACAACCTAGTCTATTAATATATTTGGATGTTGGAGTCCAGGAATCTGCATTTTACTAGTATATCTAGGTGATTCTTTTGCCCTCTAATGATTGAAAAATCATTCTATAAGAACCACAAAGTGTTAAGAGTTGTGAGAAATTGTTTGCTCATGTAGTCCAGTTTCTCAGCCTCAGCACCCTTGACATTTTGGCCCAGATAATTCTTTGTTGTATGGGGCTGTCCTTTTTATTGCAAGATGTTGAGCAGTGTCCTTGACCTCTACCCACTACATGCCACTAGCAGACCCCTCTCCTCAAAGTATGACAAACAAAAATATCTCCAGAAATCCTATATGTTGCCTGGGAAACTAATTTCCCCCCACCCCAGCCACGCCCATGGAGTACAACTTGTCTAGTCCAAACCTCATTATAAGATAAGAAAACTGAGTTTCAAGGAAATCGCATGACTTGCTAAATCTTGTAGTTTATATTTGGATTTGCCAGAGCCACAAAATGTGTTGCATCAGACTTTGTGATCTCCCTACATTATACTTAGAATGACTTCCAACAATTCTTTAAAATTCTTTCAAAATTGTTCTTGATGCCTAAATTAGATATTTTCCTGCAATATATACTTACTGGCTATAATATCTTTCTGTTTGTTTCTGTATTACTTTAAATAATCAATCCTAATTAATTTCTATGTCTTTGTCATGATTTTCCAAATTGATTTGTAAACACCGCTGCCAATTATCATGTATTAATCACAGAGCCTAGCAGAGTGCTAGATGGGCAGACATTTCTCGAGTATAGCTAGCAGTAGAATAATTACTTGTTTGCGTGTGGTCAGAGGGAGCTTATGCATTCATATATCAATTGTCCAGATATCAAAGTTTTCTTAGATGTAATATATGCTTAGAGACCGTTTGCATAAATATTCATTTTTTTTCAGCGAATGAATGTATCCCATGTTATTTCTGCCCACGCCCTTCACTTTAGTTCAGGTACACTGTTTACAACATAGGAAAGTGGTTCTCAAATTGGTTGGGTAAAGAACTTGTAGAAATTGCATAAATAGCAGACATTCAGGCCCTATCCCCAGAGGCTTTAATTTGCATGTGCATGGGGCTACAGGTCAGTCTGATACCTTGCCAGAGTTCAGGAAATCTAAACTTGAAGATTTGTGTGTGTGTGCGCGTGTGTGTTTAGTATGTTTTGTTGGAAATTTCTGAATGCAAAACTTTGCCCACATTCTTTGACGTTCAATTTATTATATATTCGTGTGGATGACATCCTTCTTAATATCATGGTGGAAGACATACCTGTATATACGGACAGGACATATTTGTATACACAGGTAGAAATTATGTAACTCTCCATCATCACTATTGTTCTAAAAAGCTAATTTGGTCACAAATTCACATAGTTACATACTTACATAGCGTAAGTAAAATAAATAATAGAAACCCTTTCTAGCTTTTTACCTGAGGGCATTTTTTTCCCCTCCCTACAGCTGCCTTCCACTCCAACAAAATCTCAAAGTTTATAAAGCCTGTCAACTTCCATTGCTAATTCTCAGTAATGGGATTGTAATTCGCTTTGGGAAGCTTCCCTGTATTACTGTTAAGTCATTTGCATTCCATAGGATGATTTGTGTTCTGATGAGTCCAGGAATTCCTAGAAGTCTCTTTCCTACCCCGCCCCCTCTTTCATTTGGAGTCTCCTTTTCTGAGTAGCAGCAGAAGCCAAAAGAAAGAAAGAAAAAAACCTTGCATTGCAAGTACAATTAGATCTATGTCTGTAGAAGTGCCTTTTGTCCAGAGACCCCTTAGGATACTATACTGAGACACTGAGCTGAAAAAGGAAAGATGATTTTTTTAACAGATGGGTTGCCTATTTTTGCCCTTCCTACATTAGAGCTGTTTTTTCCCCTTCTCTAAACTAGAGAACTATCATCCTGTAGTGGTATACAACTGTCATTCATTCCTGCCTATATTATACTGTGACTACTTGACTTTAGGCAAGAGAAGGTGATATGCACAATATCTCCCATAATAGACTTTGCAATCTGGCCTGTGGGTTTCTTTTGACTGTCCCAATGCCTGCCAGAGCAGTTTTCACAGATCTAGGAAATGGCTACATAATTTATGTGGAATCAGAAAATGAAAAACAAGAATGCAGATTTTTGCGGGTTTCTGAAATAAAACAAGTCCAACTCCAGATTGAAAGGCCTAGAGTAATTGTGCTCATCTAATAATAATAATATTTTGTGGTTATACAGCTACTTCACATGCATGGTCTCATTAATATAGCAATGGAGACAATTTCAGAAGGTAGAAATTTATCTTCTTGCCTTTGAATTATTTTATCCTGGAAGTTTAGAGCTAAAAAAGGAAACGCTGTAATTTGATGTGTCAAGAAACCAAACAGTAGAGCTTCAAGTGAAAGAACTTCGGTGCTTGAAAGGACTTTAGATGAGGCACTGTGGTGTAGAAGAAAAATCTAGCTGTAACATCAGACAGATGTGGGCTTTTCCACTCACCAAGGTGTGGCCCTGGGTAAATAACTTTTCTGAGCTCTAGTGCTTTCCCTAGGGTCAAGAGAATCTACTGACATAAGATATATAAATTTCCTAACATACATTAAGCACTCAATGAAGGTTTGTCCGTGATTATCTCAAATACCACCACCCATCCTCTGCCTTTCCCTAATCTCATTCCCCTACCCCAGTTTTGCAAGAAGGACTAAAGCCTCTGAAACTCAAACAATGTATCCAAATTCATACAGCTCAAAAAAAAATATAGAACTCAGCCTTTCTGATTCCTAACATAGTGCCGTAACTTAGTATACAACTAAAGGCAACATTTCCCACCAACTCTGTTCCATACAATAACACTTTCTCTCCCTTAGATGTTATAATTTTTTAACTATTTACCTAAACCTAAAGAAAAATTTTAGGATTTAAAACGCGTAAGGATTGGTTAATTTTAATATAGCCTGGGGTCATCTGAGTCACATTAAACCGTGGCCAAAGAAGGACTTCTACTGAGGTGGAATGTTTACAGGTGTCAGAAATCAGGAGCTATAATATTCCCTGTTGAAGCAAAACAAATTTTTAGCCTTAAAATATTCCCATTTGCAACTGAAAAGAAAATAAACTATTCTGTCTAAAGAAATTGCTTTTGCCATCAGGATGCAAAGGGCCAAGTAAATTTGTTACCCAATAAATCTTTTGGGGCATTATATAGACATAGTCTTATATTTTGTAAAGCCTAAGCTATAAAAGCAAATAACAAAAAAGAAGAAGCTATAAATTCCAAATCTAGATGACACCTTTGTATGTAAGACTCAGGAGAGCAAAACACACTATTAAGAACAAGGAATTATAAGACCAAAATAGAGTTAGAAATGCTTCTGGTTTCTCCCCTCTTGTTCTTTCTGTTTATCATGTACTTTTAGCAGTAAGTAGAGTACTACAGCAGGACCTGACATCCTGCATTGAGCAATATGGATTGGAAGCTCCATTTCTTCTCCCTCATCCTGTGTTGATTCCAGCCCAAGATGTTTAAGAACAAACCAAACTTACAAGACAAGTTTTTGGCTGTTGACCATGTCCCAAAGACTACAAAGGGGGATTTGAACTCAGAATAGATGGCAAAATTGATCGTGCAGAAACTTGGAATCATGGTGCCTGAGCACCCTGCACTGCAGGCTCAAAAGGAAGAGTAACAAGTTTCAAAAGATTTTCCTTACACCATAAAGAGGTTTCATACTTTTTCAGCTTTATCTCACACTATACTTTCACAGGTACCTCATCCCCTAGTAGCCAAACTATCCCTCAGTCAATTGATTAATCCCTCAATCAATCTTGAGCTTTTTAAAAATTTTGCTCAAGCCACTCACCTGTGTCACCATTTGTTTTCTTCACTCTATGTCCATGTATCAGAATCCTTCCTACCTTACATTCCAGGAGCACTTTAAATACATTCATGAAGCAAGAGTTTGTTTATTGTATTCACCATCATGTCCTTGGGCATAAGCATAGTTCCTGGTACTTAACAGGTATTTCTAAACATATCTGTTGAATAAAGAAATGTCTTTCATTTGCCCTTGTGGACATGAACCACCTGTCATGCTTTGTACAACTCATGTGATGAGTCCTTGACTATAGTTGTATGTATGGGTAATATCTTTGCTATTCAACTGCAAGTTCACTGAGGGCAATGACCAGGCCACTGAACATAGCCACTGCATCCTTATGTATTGTTTTAAGCATGCAGTCACAATAAAATAAATAAATTACTACATGAAGAATGAACTCAACCTGAGGTTTTGAGAGGACCATCTTAACTATCTGAACCAGAAATAAGTGCTATGTGAAACTGAGCAAATTCAAGAGCAAATAAAAAGTAGAATTCCTATATCTAGCCACCTGAGAGTAAGTCAATATTTAAAAGTCTATTAAAGAGGATCATTATTTTTCTAAAAATATATACATACCATCAACACTTTATTTTAATTTAAAGCTTACAAATGTACATGTATGTACCACCATTTTGATGTAAGCTCAAGGTGTTTTCTTTGAATAGGCCCATTATTTAAACAAACAGTCAAAAATATTTAAGATACCTGTGAAAAATCTGAGCATGGGATTTCTTTCAGATTTTACAACTTACACTAAATCTTTTACAGTTGTCTCACCGCCGACCGAATTTAACAGCATATTTTACAGCTCACCATTAACACATATTTTCAAAGCATTCAACATAGTTTTTATTAAAATCTTTTTCTTTTGTTCTCATTATTTGTTTGTTTTGAATAGTAATTAGTTAAAATATATAATTACAATAGAATGTAAAGCTGACATAAGTATGTTTGGAAAAATACTAGACACCTAATAAATATATAATTTAGCTGATGGGAGAAGAACATTGAATGTCGAGGAGGTCTACTGATCAGTGGGCCTCAGTAAGACTAGATGGAACAGAGTGATGGTTGATTGGTCAACTGGTTAAGAGATCTCCTGTAATACAAATACATCAAGAGATAATTGCCATTGTATATCTTTAATCTCAAAATGCTTAAAGAACATTGATATCTCAGAACAAATAATGTTTATAACAACATAAAAGGAATCCATGTACAAGCCTCAGATGTATTCCCAAAAATATATTTTATTTGTACATGTATTCTCAAACATGTATTTTGTTAATAATGAGGTACCTGTATTTACCCATTTAAAAAACATGCCTAAGCTTACTATTATCATATACATAATTCTTGTTATTTCTATCACATACATGTTTATTATAGTTTTATTATTTTAGGAATGAAAGAGATCTATGGATAATTCAAGATAAAAGTAGTCATTGATCATGCATCATAGACAGAGAGAGAGAAAAAATTATGATACACGCAAGAGAAATAAAGATAGGTGACATAGGGGTTTATGATTTAGTGGAAGGAACAAAATACAGTAAATAAAAAAGAATAATATAAGAAGAAGAGAGAACTATCATTATACTTGTTTAGACTAAACAATACATACACAAAGAAAATGCCAGCCCATTCCAGTATTCCTTAGCCAGGTGTTCTGGTCGGGCCACCATAGCTCTGCATATAACACATCCACCACCCCAGGCATTGTCTATAATAAGGATTCCCATTCTTGTTTTTTTGGCAAGGACTCTCCCATACATATTACTGATAGACAGCCAAGATTTCTCTGGGCACTTTTTTCTTTTTTAATCATACTTTAAGTTCTGGGATACATATACAGAGCGTGTAGGTTTGTTACATAGGTATACGCGTGCCATGGTGGTTTGCTGTGCCCATCAAGTCATCATCTACATTAGTTTGTATTTCTCCTAATATTATCTCTCCTCTAGCCCCCCACCCCACAAGGCCCCGGTGTGTGATGTTCCCCTCCCTGTGTCCACGTGTTCTCATTGTTCAACTCCCACTTATGAGTGAGAACATGCGGTGTTTGGTTTTCTGTTCCTGTGTTAGTTTGCTGAGAATGATGGTTTCCAGCTTCATCCATGTCCCTGAAAAGGAGATGAACTCATCCTTTTTTATGGTTGCATAGTATTCCATGGTGTATATGTGCCACATTTTCTTTATCCAGTCTATCATTGATGGGCATTTGGGTTGGTTCCAAGTCTTTGCTATTGTGAATAGTGCTGCAGTAAACATATGTGTGCATGTGTCTTTATAGTAGAATGATTTATAATCCTTTGGGTATATACCCAGTAATGGGATTGCTGAGTCAAATGTTATTTCTGATTCTAGATCCTTGAGGAATTGCCACACTGTCTTCCACAATGGTTGAACTAATTTACACTCCCACCAACAGTGTAAAAGCATTCCTATTTGTCCACATCTTCTCCAGCATCTGTTGTTTCCTGACCTTTTAATGATCACCATTCTAACTGGCCTGAGATGGTATCTCATTGTGGTTTTGATTTGCGATTCTCTAATGAGCAGTGATTATGACCTTTTTTTCATATGTTTGTTGACCACATAAATGTCTTCTTTTGAGAAGTGTCTGTTCATATCCTTCGCCCACTTTTTGATGGGGTTGTTTTTTTCTTGTAAATTTGTATAGGTTCCTTGTAAATTCTGGATATTAGCCCTTTGTCAGATGAATAGATTGAAAAAATTTTCTCCCATTCTGTAGGTTGCTGGTTCACTCTGATGATAGTTTCTTTTGCTGTGCAGAAGCTCTTTAGTTTAATTAGATCCCATCTGTCAATTTTGGCTTTTGTTTCCATTGCTTTTTGTGTTTTAGTCATGAAGGCATTGCCCATGCCTATGTCCTGAATGGTATTGCCTATGTTTTCTTGTAGGGTTTTTATATTTTTAGGTCTTACATTTAAGTTTTTAATCCATCTTGAGTTAATTTTTGTATAAGGTGTAAGGAAGAGGTACAGTTTCAGTTTTCTGCATATGGCCGGCCAGTTTTCCCAACACCATTTATTAAATAGGGAATCATTTCCCCTATTGCTTATTTTTGTCATGTTTGTCAAAGATCAGATGGTTGCAGATGTGTGGTGTTATTTCTGAGGACTCTGTTCTGTTCCATTAGTCTATATAACCGTTTTGGTACCAGTACCATGCTGTTTTGGTTATTGTAGCCATGTAGTATAGTTTGAAGTCAGGTAACATGATCCCTCCAGCTTTGTTCTTTTTGCTTAGGATTGTCTTGGTTATACAGGCTCTTATTTTGGTTCCATATGAAATTTAAAGTAGTTTTTTTTTTCTAATTCTGTGAAGAAAGTCAATGGTAGCTTGATGGGGATAGCATTGAATCTATAAATTACTTTGGGCAGTATGGCCATTTTCACCATATTGATTCTTCCTATCCATGAGCATGGAATGTTTTTCCATTGGTTTGTGTCCTCTCTTATTTCCTTGAGCAGTGGTTTGTAGTTCTCCTTGAAGAGGTCATTCACATCTTTTGTAGGTTGTTTTCCTAGTTACGTTATTCTCTTTGTAGCAACTGTGAATGAGAGTTCACTCATGATTTGGCTCTCTGTTTGTCTATTATTGCTGTATAGGAATGCTTGTGATTTTTGCATGTTGAGTTTGTATCCTGAGACTTTGCTGAAGTTGCTTATCAGCTTAAGGAGATTTGGTGCTGCAACATGGGGTTTTCTAAATTTACAATCATGTCATCTGCAAACAGAGACAATTTGACTTCCTCTCTTCCTATTTAAATACCCTTTATTTCTTTCTCTTGGCCGAGTTCCCTGGCCAGAACTTCCAATATTATGTTGAATAGGAGTGGTGACAGAGGGCATCCTTGTCTTGTGCCAGTTTTCAAAGGGAATGCTTCCATCTTTTGCCTATTGAAAATGATACTGGTTGTGGGTTTGTCATAAATACCTATTATTGTTTTGAGATACATTCCATCAATACCTAGTTTATTGAGAGATTTTAGCATGAATTTTGAACTTTATTGAAGGCTTTTTCTCCATCTATTGAGATAAATGTGGTTTTTGTCATTGGTTCTGTTTATGTGATGGATTACATTTATTGATTTGCCTATGTTGAACCAGCCTTGCATCTCAGGGATGAAGCCGACTTGACTGTGGTGGATAAGCTTTTTAATGTGCAGATGCATTCGGTTTGCCAGTATTTTGATTTTCACATCAACGCTCATAGGGGATATTGGCCTGAAATTTTCTTTGTTGTTGTTGTTGTTGTTGTTGTTGTTGTGTCTCTGCCAGGTTTTGGTATTAGGATTATTCTGGCCTCATAAAATTAGTTAGGAAGGAGTCCCTCATTTTCTATTGTTTGAAATCATTTCAGAAGGAACGGTACCAGCTCCTCTTTGTACCTGTGGTAGAATTCGGCTGTGAATCTGTCTGGTCCTGGGCTTGTTTGGCTGGTAGGCTATTAATTACTGCCAACATTTCAGAACTTGTTATTGGTCAATTCAGGGATTCGACTTCTTCCTGCTTTAGCCTCGGGAGGGTGTATGTGTCGGGAATTTATCCATCTCTTCTAGACTTTTTAGTTGATTTGCGTAGAGGTGTTTATAGTATTCTCTGATGGTAGTTTGTATTTCTGTGGGATCAGTGGTGAGATCCCCTTTATCATTTTTTATTGTGTCTATTTGATTCTTTTCTCTTTTCTTCTTTATTAGTCTGGCTAGCAGTCTATCTATTTTGTTAATCTTTTCAAAAAGCCAGCTCATGGATTCATTGATTTTTTGAAGGGTTTTTCATGTCTCTATCTCTTTTAGTTCTGCTCTCATCTTAGTTCTTTATTGTCTTCTGTTAGCTTTCGAATTTGTTTCCTCTTGCTTCTCTAGTTCTTTTAATTGTGATGTTAGGGGGTCGATTTTAGATCACTCCCACTTTCTCCTGTGGGCATTTTGTGCTATAAATTTCCTGCTAAACACTGCATTAGCTCTGTTCTCTGGGCAATTTCAGAGCAGAACAGGCACAGGAACCGGTGTCTGTAATTATGCTGAATGTATCAAGTGCACCATTGTTATCCATGACTTGCTGGTAGGATGAGTATGTCACACATTCATGGGTCTTTCCATGTATGTAACTAAACCTTTTTATGCCATGTGTATGTGTATACATCTGTGTGTTTGGGGTTATAGTGAAGTGTGATAATTGCATTTTTCTTTGAGAAATCATCATTTATCAATCTGGAACTACTTTCAAGGTCAAGAACTACTGAATGTCCAGATAAGAGATTTTTCATGGATGGGCACCATAGTCTATCAAGAGGCTGTTGAATGTTTATACCTGGCCAGGCTCAGGTAGAGAGAGAAAATTGGATTCAGATTCCTTATTCACCTGTTACTTGGCGATCAGCAGATCCCATCCAATTCTGTTTTCTGATCTTTGTGTAGAGATCTCTTCCAAATTTTTGGTTTAGAACCACCATGATTTTCCTGACCCATTTCACCAGATTCTTTCAATCTCTTCTGCCCCACCCTCATGCTCTTCACTATTCTCTTGTTAAATAGCTCCCTCTGGCTCTTGCTCCCTCTCTTTGCTGATTCTTGTGTGTATAGGAGTGTGGTCTCTGATAATTTGAAGCCAATTTCATTTTAAATACATATGTGATACAGAATGATTTAATTCTTCATTTGCTCACTTTTGGTAGGGTGGGGTAAATTATTATTTATCTATTGTAAATGTTTTATTCCTCATACATGTACATATTTCTTTCCAGTTTACTTTTTCTTTCCATTAAAGAATGCCAAAAACATGACGTATTAGAACATACTGACATATAACAGCTTACAGGGAAAGAAGATGCCACATGACAGAGTTGTTATCCTGCCCCAGACTTTTTTCTCGTCACTGTAGATCAATCATTCAAAGCCAAGCTTACATCCATAAATTATTTTTCATACTTCTAACTACACTTATAATGAGTCTTTCTTCTTGCCAATTCATATTATCTACATCATTCATTGTCTGATAATCATTTATTGCATCTCAGTATCCTTTTTGTTATAGTAATATATTATTTTCATTAAAAATTTTTATTACTTGAGTAGGACATCTCAAGTTATATATCTAATATCATTGTAGCTATACTTGACAGAAACACAAACAAGTTATACTTTGCCCCCCATGTCCTTTTTCTGTTATTTTTCATGTGGATAAAATACTTTTATCCCCATCTGGACTAAAAGCTCCATGATGAACACAAATTAAGCACTATATATAATACTGCTATAGTGATTTGGCATAATGTTATTCCTGAACTAGTTCTTACTTCAATAAAATTCTTATGAAATAAAGAAATCATGGAAGGGAGACCTGGGTACTTGAAAGGACAAATAATACAAATAGGAATCACAAAGTTTTGTAGCCTGGTCTACAGAATGGAGCTAACTATACACCCAAATGCCAACTTCACAGAGTGGGGTAAGAGTCAAGTGAGTTATTTAACGATAAATATTCTAATGGCTTCAGAATTTCCTTTTATTATCACTCACTTCCATAGCTCAAAGAATTTCTCTACCAATCAAGTTATACATATATATGTACATATATATAAATTAATATCTAACTGTTGTTCTTACTTTTATTAATCAGATAAATATGTTATGCTTTATAATAATCAAGAAATATAATATTATCCTTATTAGATTGTTTTAAAATGTTGTAAACAATAACAATTACTAAAGCCATGAACTCCCAGTGGGTCTAGGACCTCAAATTGGGAATATGTGTTTTATTAACATTTAAAGTTATTATTATTTCATTGTTTCTTATTTTTAACAATATTAATAGTAATAAGTCAAATTACCAGTTCAAGAAGCCAATTTTAGTCACTCTATCGGTTCTCATTGGTTTTAAATTTTTTTTCTAGGAAGATCAATTTTTTAAAGAGCTAAATAAATGACTAAGAGGCAAGAAAATACCATAAAGTCTAATCCTATTTCATTTACTTGTAATGTGTTGTTACAAGTTAAGGTCTTCTCTCTTAACAGTCTTCATTCAAAATTGCAAACCAATTGTGAGGCTGTCTTCATTGAACTGCTATTGGACCAATACACAGAGAAGCATATAAGACAGTGAAAATTTAAAAACTATTTCCTAAACATTACAGGTTACCTTCAATTTTAAACTAGATCCATTTTTGTATTTCTTAGAAAATCACC
Organism: Homo sapiens; assembly: GCF_000001405.40. Lineage (NCBI taxonomy): Eukaryota > Metazoa > Chordata > Mammalia > Primates > Hominidae > Homo > Homo sapiens. Next base: position 118,011,071 of record NC_000003.12, read on the forward strand.
AGCAAATATTTGCCAACTAAGGTTTAGAGAGCTGTAACCTCCCCTTTATAAATTTTACTTCAGATTCAGGAAACCTCATGTTTTGTCTTTTTGATAAAAATCATTTCTAGGGACATACACGATCAGAGTGAATTCAAATAAAATGCCAAAAAAACTTCTGAATTGAGGAGAAATCGAAGAGGACTACATGTCTAATTGAGGAAAAGTTTTAAACTGGAAAATGTTTACTTTGTAAGAGAACCTGTTGCTTTTTGCTGGGTTAAAGCTTCCTTTTAATAATCCATGCACACAGCATGAGCAAACTTGGCGTAAAAGTTTAAGATAATTATGATTTCACGGCTGTCCACTTCTACACTAATAACATTCAGTCAGGGCCTTCTGAAGGGATCCTGGTTAAAGAAAAGCAGTTGGTCATAATAAAGAGTAAACATTAATTAAGTGACTCTCCCACAAAGTGTAAAAACTAGTAGCATTAGTTATCCAAATTTTGTCATCTGATCTACCCCAACAGTTTCAGAAGACAGTGGAGAAAAAATATTAATGTAAGGCCTAGGCAAGGAGTTATAATACACAAACACAGAGCAGACAAGTAATTGACTTGAAAGTAGCTTATCTAAATTAGCATTTTTAAACACTTTCATATATCAGACATAAATGGTCAGTCTTGCTCTCAAGGAGATTATAGCAGCATTAGACGAGAGGAAGTGAGATGTAGACTGTCTTCAAATGTTCGTTAATGCCACATCTCTTTTTGCTTCATTCATTCTCTAGTGTTTATTTATATCTGTGGCAAGGATAAAAGTCAAGAAGATATTTGTATGATTGTGTAAGAACCAGCTATTTAAACACATCTCACTCCCACTTAATCAAAAATGCCTGAGTAGAGTTGGAATTCAAGGATAGTTTTGAAGGAGAGAAGAAAGATGATTTGATTGAATCATTCCAATAGTTGAAGTAGACTACTTAGCCATCTTATCTGAAGGTATCAAGCTTAAGTTGGCATGAGTGGCTACAATTGTGGCTATTAGTGCAGTGGAGAGTCATGCTACTATGGAAACGATATCCTTGAGCTTACATTTCTCCTTGTAGAGGTCTTGGCACACAGAGTGATTGCCTAAAGCCAGAAAATAAGGCAAGGAATTACAGAAGGCTGTCCAATAACATTTAATCGCTTCAAAAGGAAGTCACTAATTGCGAGGGCAGATTTTTGGCATATACTCTGATGTAAAAAGGAAGTCATTGTACACGTAAATGCATCCAAGTAAGGATTTAGTACTCTGCTATTGCAGAAAGGAGTTTTGTAAAATATGTATTCCAGTCACTTGCCTTCTTCCCAGAAATAAACTCTGAGCAGATCAAAAAGAAAGCTAATCTATTATCAGATTTTTTTTTAAATTCATCTAGGACCAACTATATAAAAAATTACAGAATGTGTTTCTTCACATTGGAGGCAAGAAAATTCAACATGAACATGATTAAGCTCAAGGCTAAGTCTGAAAGAGATACAGAACCTTCACAGTAGGCTCCCTGACCTCTAAATGTAAAAGTTGGATGGTTACAGAAAATATTTCAGCTATTCTTCACTACGGTAGAGACAGACAGAAAGAGAGACAGAGAAAATATCAGTACAATTTTTCTTATAGTAATTTTAGTTAAAAATATTTTTAAAGAATTATAAGTTGAATAAAAATAAAACTGGAAAATATTGAGTAATAATGAGCAAGATTCTTCCAAAGACCTGCCTCTCAAATACAACACTCAGGCCATTTTTGTATTTTTGTCTCTCTCTCTTTTAACGCTTTGAATATATTTAAGCAGCATCAGTTTGTATGTCTGAGGATTTTACACACCTTTAATTCAATCTTGAAGAGAATATGTACTCAGAAGGGAACACTGAGTCCAGATGCAGGACATTTAAATTATCCTCACCCTTACAAACCATATCTTACCAGATTCTGTTTATAGCACCAGAAACTATCACAACCAGAAGGGATCCCAAAGATTATCATTTCCAATTGCCTCATTTTGTAAATGAGGAAACTGATCACCAAAGACGTATAGTAACTGATAGAAGTCATACAACTATTGAGTGGTTAACTTAGACTCAGTGCCATTTTCAAAGCAATAGAGCACCACACACTTTTTTTTTTTAATGTTAAAACAAGCTTCAAACTATTTGTAACTAATATGAACTATATTGCATCAGGTTGTTTTTCTCCCCAGCATTTCTACAAATCTCTGTTTCCCTTCCTATAAGATAGAGATTATAATATGCACTGTGTTCATTGCTACCCTGACCAGACAGGAATTTCCAACTGTTCTGCTGTTGCATCTTGATCAGCAAACGTTGCTCTTCCTCATACTTCTCCCTCCAGACAAGATGCCCAAGTCTAGGTTGGAGGGGAGAATTACATGTGTTCAGGAGTGTTGAATGGCAGGCCTACATATGGGACAGGTGCACTAACAGAAGGAGAAGGGAGCCCACACTGGAAGTCATCCCAAACTTAAGAGCACCTACCACTCCACTTCTTAGACCAACATGGGAAATTTTCCATTACCTCCTACAGCAATGCACCCAGTGTTGAGTTTCTGCATTCATCCCTTTAGTCTTTTTTTTTTTTTTTTTCATGTAATTTGCAACTCCTTTCTCCTCCTCCCCTTACCCAAACTCTGTCTTACCTGGTTTCTTGGAAAGGAAAGCCCCAATTGGAAACCTCTAAACCCTTCTTCTTGTAGCCCTTTGTTTCATCTTTGGTGTAGGACGAGAGAGAGAAGATGGCATGATGTTGTTAGAGTAAAAGAGGAGGGAGGAAAAATACAGGGAAAATCAGGTAGTTGAAATGTAAGCCTACCAGAAGATTCTATTCAACCCTATGACAGAAGGCAAGAGTGGGAAAGGATTTTCTGGAGCATTCGGGCCAATTACTTTTACAGATGAGGAAACTGAGGCTTAGAAATGTCAAGTTATTTGTATTTGTGCATGATCATCAAGGAAGGAAGTTCTGGATTCAAGAAAAGTATCCAGATTGCCAGGGCATTTGACACTATGTCTCACTTAATCTAATATTAAGGCTCTGAGTACCTCAGTGACACTCAGGTGTAAATACTTGCTTATGAAATAATGTGATCTGAAATGCTAATTACATGTATATAAGTTCTCAGAGTTCTGAAATGGTCAGAGCCATGTGAGGACCGAACCAACACAATTTCCTACAGAATATGTGGCTTTTCTTTACAATGTTTGGCCAAAGACTTGCATTTATTTTTTCTTTTCTTTTCTTTTTTTTTTTTTTTTAGACGAAGTTTTGCTCTTGTTGCCCCGGCTGGAGTGCAATGGCGTGATCTCAGCTCACCGCAACTTCTGCCTGTCGGGTTCAAGCGATTCTCCTGCCTCAGCCTCCTGTAGCTGGGATTACAGGCGCCTGTCACCATGCCTGGGTAATTTTTTTGTATTTTTAGTAGAGACGGGGTTTCTCCATGTTGGTCAGGCTGGTCTCGAACTCCTGACCTTAGGTAATCTGCCCACCACAGACACCCAAAGTGCTGGGATTACAGGCGAGAGCCAACGTGACCGGCCTAGACATGCATTTCTTAATCTTTCAGCATATCCATCTGTATATCTGCCTGCTTTCGGAAAACATGTCCTATATAACGTAATAGTACACATGAGTTTCCTGAACACCAGTGTCTCCTGGGGAACTACAATGCAAATACCAAGAATCACCTGTGAAAGTATGGGCCACAGTCCAACAAAAGAACATGTCCAAAATGGAGAAAGGAATAGAGAGATTTCAGAGATAAGTACAGGAAGTATGCAAAATTGGTCTTACATTTACCCTTCTCAGCAATACCTATTGACCTCCCATGTTGATTTTTTCTTATTACAGTAAAATTATGCATATAACAACATGATCATTATAGTTCAGTTAAGATAAATTTGACCATACCACTTCCCTCATTCTCATAAGATCATTTTGTAATTGTCAGTTGCTCTGAGATATATTAAAGACCTGTTTATGGTGTGCCATATACCGAACTCCAGTAGACTCCCTCACTCAGAAGAGGATGTTATTTTTCACAGCCACAGTTTAGAATGTACTTTTGAAAAGTCATTTCCAAGGTCTCTTGGTCACAACCTCTCCTTTGTGGATTATTGCAATAGCTTCCTGAACGCTTTTTTCTACTACTGCCCCCAGCAGCTATTTTTTGCACAGTAGCCAGAGTGATCCTTTTAAAACATTAATCTGATCATGTTACACCCTTGCTGAAAGCACTGTAATGACTTTCCATCATTTTAGTATAAGATCAAAGTCCTCCACCTGATCTGGTTCTCTCTCAGCTCTCTGACCTTCTTTCTTCACACTCATCCTGTTGCTCTGAGCATGTGCTTGCCTCGGGGTCTTTTCTGATAGGGCTCCTCTGTAGGAAATGTTCTTCCCTAGAGAACCACATGGCTTGCTCCTTCAACTCTTTGTAGTCTGTACTCACCTATTACTAAATCAGAGAAATCTGCTCTCAATACCTTATCTGAAATAGCAACACAACACTCTACTCTCACTCTTCATTATTTTCTCTGCTTTTTTTTTTTCTAAGCCAACCTCTTTCTAATGTTATATTATGTATCTGTTTACTTCGTTACTCTCTAAAACTTCCTGCTCCATAAGGGCATGTACTTTTTCTGTTGGCCCACGGATATTAGTAAAATGGCTAGATAAAGTATATTGTTTCTTCTGAAGCAGCATAGACCATTTTATGAACATGTGCATTGGTTATTTCTTACTTACTTTGAACTAGTGTATTTGTGATGGGTTTTAACCAAAGTAGTTTGGAATTTCTAATAATGTGGCAAAGTTTAATTTATTTTATATATGTAAGTAGATTTTTTTAAAAAACACTTTGGTAGTTGCACCTTCTTTATGTCCCTATATGTTTTACTGAATAGGATTTTAAAAAAAGGCAAAGTTAAGGGAGGCACACTCAAAATACAATTTAATTTACTACTCATATTTACCGAAGTGTACTCCTTGGAAGCGTCATATAACCATCCATCAAGTGCGTCCTGATTGCAAAAATAAAAACAAAAAATTGGGAATCCCATTTTTTAAACTGGTGATTCCTTGACTTCATGCTTGGTATGAATATTGATATAAGGACTCTTTAAATCCACAGCCCATTCAAAATTCCTGGCTCGTAAATACAGAAAAGACTGCACTTAACATTTCTAAAAGTCAAACTTCCTTTAAGTAACATAGTCTATGAAAATCACTGAATATTATTCTTAACACATAGTAGGTATACAGAAATGTTATTCCTCCTTCCTCCACCCTTACTATGATTTTCTCTCAGCAGTGATAGAAATAAAAGAAATGTTAGCAAGTTATGGCTGGACATGCTGGCTCATGCCTGTAATCCTAGTACTTTGGGAGGCTGAGGCGGGAGGATCACTTGAGATCAGGAGTTTTAGACAAGCCTGGGCAAGGAAGACCCTATCTCTATAAAAAAATTAAAATAAAATAAAAAAAAGCTAGGCATGATGGCATGTAGCTATAGTCCTAACTACTCAGGAGACTGAGGCAGGAGGATCGCTTGAGCGTAGGAGTGCAAGGCTGCAGTGAGCAATGATCACACTACTGTACCACAACTTGGGCAACAGAGTAAGACCCTGTCTCTCAAACAACCAAACAAAAACAACAGAAATGTCAGTAAGTTAGAAGTATTTGACATCTACCCTCCTCCTGTGTCCTCATTATGCCAGATAAGGTCTTCCTTTATTGGAAAGGATCCAGGTAATGATATAGTGGAAAAAATATTAACAAAGTAGCTGATGTTATCTACATAATAAACTGGTCATAGCAATAAAGGCAAAAGTGCAGCAGGAATAAGGAGGGCGTAAATGAGTTTATAGAGGCTGAACAAAAGCAGATATTTACAGTTTGGAGATGAAGAGATGGCACTTGGGACAACGGGGGAGTAGACAGTTGCCAGACAAGTGAAATAAATAGCAAGAGATTGAAAAAATGGCTTTCCAAAAATCTGAGAAACATTGTAATTGTAATACCCTTAGTGAAATTTTTAAGAAAAACTATAGCCAAGATTCAAACAGCTTTACAAATTTTGGGGTCAAATTCTATTTTTTGTTTGTTTGTTTTATGACAATTCTTTTTTGGGGGCTAGCTTACCTCTCTCTGGCCCCTTTCCATGAGAAATTCAAAATTCCTTAAGTTCCTAGAATTTCTAGATGGAGGCTGGGTAGGCAATACAAAGCTGAATTTGGAAGGATTTCTGCAGTTATCCTACATAAATCTCACTCAAACAAGAAAGAAAAAAGCTCATTTGCAAAGAGAAAAAGGTATTATAAAAACATAGCTTTACACTCTTTGTACAAAAATGTGTAGTAACTAAACATTCAATCCACCACCCAATAAATAAGGATGCCAGAGTAACTAATATGATTCATGCAATAAAGAAGGCAGTGAGGGAGGAAAAAGGTGTTCAGAACCTGTGTATAGAGGGTGAAGGGAGGGTTTGTTTTTTAAGAGGCCACAGAATGAAAGGAAATATGCATGAAAGATTTTGACATAGAGAGACTAGTAATGTAGAATTTAAAATTTTTTGTTGAAATTGAGGTCTGTCTGCTAACATTTTTTGGAAGAGCCTATTAAATGACTAAATTGCTTTAATGACTTTTTCCTAAGTGAGTCTCTGTTGAGGCTGGCTTCCAGGCAAGATACAACTCCCCTAACTTTATGCATGTTACAAATAAATAGCATTATTTTACATTGTCTTTATTATCCACTTTGGAATGAATTAGCTTCAGGTAAGTTTTTGGAGGGTCAAGTTTACTCCTCTATCCACAGAGCCTATGACAATATCTAGCATAAAATACATTGTTTATGAATTAACTAATAGATGATTGAGTTAACAATCTAATTTTTGAATAGGGAAAACTTGTACCAATTGATGGCTGTTGTCCATATTGATAGGACTCATTTATTTTGTACACTTAGAAGTAGAGATGTAGAATATTTTTATTTTAATTTTCTGATGAGAAGACACACATTGAAAAAGAATCAGGAATTGTGAATGATGTTCATGTCAAAGAGTGGTCAGCAAAGTAGCTATTCATATATTTATTAGAAATTTGGTTTCTTGCCATTTTATTTCCACCCAGCCACCAGTGGAAATGATACTTATAAATATTTTATTGAATAGCTTTCATTTTAACGTAAGTAGTAAGTAGAAGAACAGATGCTTCTGTGTCTATGGGAGTGCCTTTGTGAAGAAGCCAAATGCCAGGCTGCTTTGGCGAGAACTTTAATATTGGCTAGCTCTCTGGATCAAGTGTCCTCATCAAGATTTATTATATTTTTCAAGTATCATATAATAACTTTTAAATATTTTATTAACTAATTTTAGGAAAGCCCACTTGCTTCAAATTTTCAACTGAAAATAACATAATTTGAGAATTATTACTACACAGGCTGTCTTCTGAACCTGACTGTTCTATGCATTCTGTCTTCAGCCTTACTCGTAAGAGGCCACTTCCTCACCGTCGCTCCATCTCACACCATGCATGTTGGCCTTTAATGATTCCAGGTGATTGATGTGGAGAACTTTGGTCCAAGATAAATTCGACACTACCTCCTTTTTCTCTCCTCAGGGTCTCCACTTTGCCTCTTCCTTTAACCTGACATAGCTCAATCAGTTCTGCCTTGGCCAAGATTTATTTTACACTTGTTAAAGGTATGATTTATCTCTACTGGTAGTATACTATATTTGGTCACACAGGTTCCTGAGGGAGGTCACACAGGGGACATTCAAGCTGAATTAAATTATTCATACTCTATGTTAGGTTTTTGCCACAAATTCCTGGTCTCACTGCAGGAAGTTGGACATTGTATCATGAATTAAATAAAGTGGCTGGCTTAAACAGGACAAATACGTTTCTCCCAGAAGTAGTTAATTGCATCGTTGATTTAGTGACTCAGTGATTGAGATGGCTTTCCTTGGTCTTCCCAAGATGTTGGTAGTATGGTTGCTAAGGCTGTTCCCATCATATCATATCCAGCCAAGACAATTACAAAAGAAAGAAAAAGCAGCACTAGCACCTGCATCTCATTAGCCAGGGGCCTGTCACATGGTCAGCCCTAACCGGATGTTGTTTAGGCCAGTCTTCAATGTCTGCCACACTTTCCTTTACCACTTGCCTTTAGGGGCCAGGCTTAAAGTTTCCGCCCTAGTATTTTACTTAGACCTCCAAAACTGAGGGCATCTCTAAAATAGAAGAGCATATCCAGTTTATCAATCCAGTCACAGTAAAAAGAACTCAAACACACACACAAAAAAGCAAGCTATTTGTGCCACTTCATTTCTCCCACCAAGTCCACCACTGCCCAGCACCATAGAAGCAGTTTATTCATGATGATGTCATTTGGTCCTTGATATATTGGTGTTTCTCTTCTCCGAGGAAGAGGATTCATTTTTTGGAAATAGGGAAATTTCATCTCAGAACTACATTCTGAATGTAGGATTTGCAACTTGGAGAATGTTAGTTCCACACACCAGTGCATTGTTTAGGATTGTTCACATCAAATCTACTTTTTGTTTTTATCCTACTTCTCAATTACATTGAGGAGCCAGAGTGTTACAGGATCAATTCAATTCTCTAGATTCCAAGGGAGGGTTAATATTTTACCTCACTTTTGAAACAAACAAAATATGTTCAATATAAGAATTTGTGTGGCTTTCGTAGTGTTCTTTTCCTCCACCATTTTTATTTTAGAAAATTTGCAAAAAAGGAACAGTGTACATTATTTTATCCCTTACTTACAATCACCAATTGTTAACATTTTCCCACTCCAAATACTTAAGCATGTAGCTGTTAACTTAAGCATGTAGCGTGTTAATACTTAAGAAATGTTTTTATATAACTATAATAGAATGTTCACATTGAAAAATTAACATTGATTTATTATTGTATATTGCCCATATTTTAATTTGCCTAATTTACCCAATAATGTTCCATTTCTTGTTCCCCCCTTTTCTAGGACCCAATCAATGCATTTAATTGTCATCATTCTGTAGTCTACTTTAATAAAAAAAATCATTCCTTATCTTTTTTTTCCCTTTCATGACACTGATATTTTTTAAGAAGGCAAGCCATTTGTATTGCAGAATCATTTGTTTTGTTTCTTTCCTCATGATTAGATTAACGCTAAACATTTTTAATACGAATACTAGAGAGATGATTCTGTATCATTCTCAGTGCATTATAGCAGGTCATGATGTTAATTTGTTCTACTATTAGCAGTATTACATTTGATCATTTGGTAAAGGTAGTATTCAACACATTTCTCATCTGTGATGTCTTTTCCCCTTCACAATTAATAACTAATCCATAAGATCATATGTTGAGACTGTGTTCCCAAACAATCTTTAACCCAATGATTTTAGCATCCATTGATAATTTGTGCCTGAACTGATTCCTAAAATGTTGATTAAAAATGATGATTTTCTAATTTGGCCATTGCTCCTACATTTATTAGTTGGCATTTTTCTATAAAATAGAGATTTCACTCCCTCCTCTGCCTTTTGAAACTTAGTATTACTATGGCTCATAGATTTGTTTATTAGTCAATCTGTTATAAACCATTTCCATCATAATATAAACCATATTTCTTTTTAATGCTCAAATTATCCCAGATTTGGCCAAAGGGAACCTCTTCAAAATTTTATGTCTTCTTGATATGCTCCTATCAACTTTTGAGAACGTCTTATTCTGATGTGACAGTATGTCCCATGCTTACCTTGTTTCTCTTGCACAGACCTAGAGGTAGCCATTTTCCAAGGAGTTCTAGCTTCCTTCAGAGGAAAATAGTTCTTATAGAATCAAGGTCTAAGTGATTTACATGCTCATTGTTACTGATATACTATTGCTACTAACTTCATCAGGGAACAGAACTAAGAGATATATATTTTAAAAATCATTAACTTGTATCTATAATTCCATTTCAAATTCAACATTATAGTATTTTTTCTCTCCTCCCAATGTGCATTTGTAACTTTCTTCTTCCACAGTTGAAAATGAATGTGGTTGCATCAATATCAATATGTGTACTGTGCACTCAATCATTCAAGACACATGAAACAGTTTCAGACTTATTATACTCATACCACTAGCACTAAAAAATTATTAATTAAAGGTCAAGATTTCCTTTTGTTTTTAGAATATATACCACTGGGAATATAGTGGAGTATTTTATATAAAAGTTGCTTTTTAGTTACTGTGAATCCAATTAAGTATTTGCTTGTATTTGTATTTTTTGCAGCTCTTTCTTGAATTAGTTTTTCTTGAATATAAACATATTAATATCATTCAAAAGTCAAATCAGAAAATGATAAAGTCAGAGCAAGTAGAAATACTCTGTAAAGTCTCTTTTCTTTTCTTACCTTTTCTAGTGTTTCCATATATCTTCTGTAGGAAACAAGTGTAATCATTTTTTAGTTTTACCCTTCCTGCATTTCTTTGGCAAAAATAAGCATATATACATACCTCCATGCTCATAGATGTAAACATTTACCCCCTTCTTTTATTTTATTCATATTTCTTGATTTCTTAAAATTATTTACATTTTTCTATAGTTAGCTCTTAGAATAAATGTTACACAAAATTTCCTCCCAGTTTGTAATTTATGTTTTAATTTATTTATAATTTTGTTGTCTAGGCACAAGGCTGTTCTTTTTATGTTGTTGAATTTACCAGTATTTTCTTTTATTATATCAGGATAGTGAGACACAAGTAGAAAGATCTGGCCCCTTTGCCTATCCAGATTACATGGGAATTAATTCATGTTTTCTTCCATTTGTGTGTGCTTTTGTTTTGTACAATTAGATTTCTGATACTTTGAGAGTTCATTTTTGTGTAATCTATGGGATACAAATTCAATATTATATTTCTCAGATGGCAATACAGTTGACCTATCATATTTACTAATAAGCCTGCACTATCTACAATGATTGAGGTGTCACCTTTACACTACACTAAATTTCTATACATACTTGGGTTCTTTTCTGAACTTTCTATTCTGTTCTACTGCTCTTTGCATTGAACCATATGCCAGTAAACAACCGTTTTGATTACAGAAGCTTTGTAGCATGTTTGCGTATCTGATAAGTATATGCACTTTGTTACTCTTCTTCAGGATTTCAGACCTTGCAGGTTTATTTTTCTATGATAACTTTAGAATTAACTTGTATAGCAAAAAATAAAATTATGTGAATTTTTATTGAAATTGCACTCAATTTAGATATTAACTTAAAGAAATTTGTCATGCATATGATACTGAATCCAAAACCAAAAACTGTTTGTCGTTCAGTCCAAAACTATTTTTGTGCTTTTATGAGAGTTTTTAAGTTTTACAGTTAGAGGTTTCACATATTTCTTGTTTTGTGTTTCTAAATTTTCCGCATTTTGTTGCTATTTAAATATTTTTTTTAAAAGTATTTTTCCACAGTTATGATTTTTTGTGTGCAGTTGAAGGCTGTTGGGTTTTTGATGTTCATTTTTATATTCTATTATGTTATAGGATATTATTATATGCATTGGTTTTATGATTTCTTCTCTCACATTTCCAAAAAATAGTCATATCATTTGAAAATAGATACATTTTACTTCTTCTTTTCAAATTGACTGATATTCCTATACAATGTTAAACAGTAGTAGTTAAGTAGACATCTTTGCTTTGTTCCTGACCTGAGTATGAAGGCTTCTACTACGTGGATATGTGTGTGTGTATGTGTATAGTACTTATTCCTTTAAATATTATTAGAAGAATTATGTATCAAATTTTGTCAAAGGAATCCTGGGAAACTAGTATTTTCTCCCTGGCAGTATTAATATAAAGAAATAAATGAATAGATTTCCAAAACCTCACTTGGTCATTATGTATTACTTTCCTGTGGGTCTATTCAGTTCCATCTGATGATGTTTTATTTAGAATTTTTACATCTGTATTTACAAGTAATATTTGTTTTTTGTTTGTTTTGTTTTCTGCTACCACCATTCACCATTTAATGATATATCTGTCTCATAAGAAGTAATTTGGAAGTCTTCCTTCACTTTTATGAAGTGAAGGATATAACTACATAAGTTATATGAACAACTTATGTAGCAATTGCACAAATAAATATTAACCATTTTATAGACCGCCCCTGTGGAACCACCTAACTCTGGTTCTAATTTTGGTAGGATGTTTTTTTGTTTGTTTGTTTTGTTTTTTTCTTCTTTACCTTTCACTATTCTCCAGTGAAACCCATCTATTTCAACTCTGTGTCTCAGGATTGTTTTTACTTACTGTAGGTTACTAGGAAAATTTCCTCCTTACCTAAGTATACAACATATTTGCGTACAGATATAGAAAGTATTCTGTCATGATTTTTGTTATTTCATGATTTTATTTATATGTTTTTGTTAATTATTTTGTATATTTTTGCTTTCTTGCTTTCCATGTCTTTGTTTTTTGGTTAATGTTTTTATATAACTAGTATTTATATTTAAATTTAGTTTTTAATTTTGGGGGCTGATTTATTTTCATTTTTTAAAAAAATCCTTCCTTAGTTTTTTCTTGTAAACTGTACATTTTTAGATGTTTTGAGTTGGAAAAATTTTTAAAATAAATACAAGCCATAGATTGTAATATATAGGAATTTTGTTTTCATTCAAAAAATTTGTACCCATAGCTTAGCTCCCACTTATAAATGAGAACATGAAGTATTCGGTTTTCCATTCCTGAGTTACTTCACCTAGAATAATGGCCTCCAGTTCTGACCAAGTTGCTGCAGAAGACATTATTTCATTCTTTTTATGGATGAGTAGTATTCCATGGTGTGTGTGTGTGTGTGTGTGTGTGTGTGTGTGTGTGTGTCTCACAGTTTATCCACTCCTTAGTTGGTGGGCACTTAAGTTGCTTCAATATCATCGAAAATTTGAATTGTGCTGAGGTAAACATACATGTGCAGCCGTCTTTTTTCCATTATGACTTCTTTTCCTTTGGGTAGATACCCAGTAATGGGATTGCTGGATCGAATCGTGAATGTATTTTTAGTTCTTTGGAAAATCCCCATACTGTTTTCCATAGAGACTGTAGTTATTTACATCCCCACAAGCATTGTATAGGTGTTGGCTTTTCACCCCATCCATGCCAACATCTATTTTTTTTTTAACTTTTTAGTAATGACCATTCTTGATGTGGTAAGATGCTATCATATGGTTTTAATTTGCATTTCCCTGATGATTAGTGATATTGAGCATTTTTTCATATGTAAATTGGCCATTTGTATATCTTCTTTTGAGAAATGTCTGTTCATGCCATTTGCCCATTTTTAATGGGAATATTTGTTTGTTTGTTTGTTTTTCTTGCTGGTTTGTTTGACTTACTTGTAGATTCTGAATATTAATCCTTTGTTGGATGTATAGTTGGCAAGTATTTTCTCCCATTTGGTAGGTTCTCCATTTGCTCTGATGATTATTTCTTTTGCTGTACGAAGCTTTTTAGTTTAATTGTCTCATTTTCTGTTTTTATTTTTCTTGATGCTTTTGGGATCTTAGTCTAATTTATTTGATTACGCAAATGTCCAGAAGAGTTTTTCCTAGGTTTTCTTCTAGATTTGTAGTGGTTTCAAGTCTTAGATTTAAGACTTTAATCCATCTTGAGTTAGTTTTTTTATATGGTGAGAGATAGGGATCTAGTTTTATTCTTCTACATGTGGCTGTGGAATTTTCTCAGCACTATTTATGGAATATGGTATACTTTCTCAGCTGATGTTTTAGTATACTTTGTCAAGTTCAGTTAGTTTTAAGTATGTGACTTTATTTCTGGGTTCTTTATTCTGTTCCATTGGTCTATCTACTTTTATACCAGTACCATGCTGTTTTGGCTATTATATAGCCTCATAGTATAATTTGAAGTTGGGTAATGTGATGCCTCCAGTTTTGCTCTTTTTACTTAGGATTGCTTTGGCTACTCAGGCTCTTTTTTGGTTCCATGTATATTTTAGGATTTGTTTCTAATTCTAGGAAAATTAAGTTAGTATTTTGATAGGAATTCTATTGAATCCCTAGATTGCTTTGGGCAGTATAGTTATTTTCATGATATGGACTCTTCCAATCTATGAACATGGGATGTATTTCCACTTTTATGGCATCTATCATTTCTTTCAGCAGTGTTTTGCATTTCTCTTTGTAGAAATCTTTTGACTCCTTGGTTAAGTATATTCCTAGGTACTTTATATTTTTTGGAGCTGTTGTGAAATGGACTGAGTTCTTGATTTGATTCTCAACTTGGTTATTGTTGGTTTATAACAAGCTACTGATTGTATACATTGATTTTGCAACGTGAAAAGTTACTGAATTCATTTCTAAAATCTAAGAGTCTTTTGGAGGAGTCTTTAAAATGTTCTAGGTATAAGATAGTATCAGCAAACATATAGGGTTCGACTTCCTCTCTTCCAATTTGGATACATTTTATTTCATTCTCCTGTCTGATTTCTCTGGCTAGGACTTCCAGCATCATGTTAAATAACAGCGGTGAAAGTGGACATCTTGTCATGTTTCCGTTAATAGGGGGGATGCTTTCAACTTTTCCCCATTGAGAATTATGTTGAACTTGGATTTGTCATATATGGCTTTTTAAATTTTTAGGAATGTTCCTTCTACTTATGGTTTGTTGCGGGTTTTCATCATAAAAGCATGATGAATTTTAGCAAATGCTTTTACTGCATCTACTGAGATAATCTTATGTTTTTAAATTCTGTTGATATGATGTATCACATTTATTGAGTTGCATACGTTGAAACATCCCTGCATCCCTGGGATGAAACCCGCTTGATCATGGTGAATTTTTTTATGTGTTTTTGGATTCAGTTAGTATTTTGTTGAGGCTTTTTGTATCTATGTTCATCAGAGATATTGTTCTATAGTTTTCTTTTATTTCTATCATTTCCTGTCATTAGTATCAGGGTAATCCTGGGTTCATAAAATGAGTTAGAGAGGAGTCTCTCCTTCTCAATCTTTTGGGATAGTTTCAGTAGGATTAGTACCTGTTCTTTATTTTTTAATTTTTATTTTTAAAAATTGTTGTGAGTACCTAATAGGTGTATATATTTATGGGGTATATGGGATATTTTGATACAGCCACTCAGTGTGAAATAAGCACATCAGAGAGAATGGAGTATCCATCCCCTCAAGCATTTATCCTTTGAATTACAAACCAATCCAATTACATTATTTATTTTGAAATATAGAATGAAGTTATCATTACTATAGTCACCTTATTGTGCTATCAAACAATGGGTCTTATTCATTGTTTCTATTTTTCATGTACCCATTAATCATCTCCACCTCCTCCCCAACCCTCCACTACCCATCCCAGCCTCTGATAATCAACCTTCTATTCTCTATGACTGTGGGTTCAATTGTTTTGATTTTTAGATCCCACAAATAAGTGAGAACATGCGATGTTTGTCTTTCTGTTCCTGGTTTATTTCACTTAACATAATGACCTCCAGTTCCATGCATGTTGTTGCAAATGACTAGATCTTATTATTTTTTATGGCTAAATATTACTCCGTAGTGTATATGCATCACATTTTCTTTACCCATTTATCTGTTGATGGACACTTAGTTGGCTTCCAAATCTTAGCTATTGTAAACAGTGTGGCAACAAATGTAGGAGTGCAGATATCTCTTCAATATTCTGATTTCCTT
Organism: Homo sapiens; assembly: GCF_000001405.40. Lineage (NCBI taxonomy): Eukaryota > Metazoa > Chordata > Mammalia > Primates > Hominidae > Homo > Homo sapiens. The sequence continues at coordinate 118,026,834 of NC_000003.12, forward strand.
TCTTTGAGTATATACGCAGCAGTGGAATTGATGGATCACATAGTAGCTCAATTTTCAGATTTTTGAGAAACCTCCAAACTGTTCTCCATAGTGGTTGTACTAATTTACATTCCCATCAACAGTGTACAAGGGTTCTCTTTTCTTCACATCTTCACCATCATTTGTTTTTGCCCGTTTTTTGGATATAAGCCATTTTAACTAGGGTGAGATGATATCTCATGGTAGTTTTATTTGCATTTGCACATGTTGTGGGAGGGACCCAAAGAAGGTAATTGAATCATGGGGCTGGTCTTTCCTGTGCTATTCTCATGTGAGTGAATATGTCTCAAGGGATCTGATGGGTTTATCAGGGGTTTCCACTTTTGCTTCTTCATTTTTTCTTGCCACCACCATGTAAGAAGGGCCTTTTGCCTCCTGCCATGATCCTGAGGACTCCCCATCCATGTGGAACTATAAGTCCAATTAAACCTCTTTTTCTTCCCAGTCTCAGGTATGTCTTTATCAGCAGCATGAAAACAGACTAATACAGCATAAAAAATGCTACTGATGTTTGTATGTTGATTTTGTATCCTGCAACTTTACTGCATTTTTTAAATCCATTCTAATCGTTTTCTTATGGAGTCTAGGTTTATCCAAATATAAGATCATATCATCAGCTAATGAGGGTAATTTTACTTCTTCCTTTCCAATTTGGATGCCCTTTATTTCTTTCTCTTGTCTGATTGCTCTAGCTAGGACTTCCAGTAATACACTGAATAAGGGTGGTAACAGTAGGCATCTTTGTCATGTCCCAGGGTATCAGTTCTTTGAACATGTGGTAGAATTTGGCTGTGAATCTATCTGGTTCTGGGCTTTCCTTTTGTTGGCAGAATTATTTTTATTGCTGATTCAATCTCACTGCTTCTTATTGGTCTGTTCAGGATTTCTGTTTATTCCTGATTCAAGCTAGGGAGTTGTATGTTTCCAGGAACTTATTCATTTCTTCTGGCTCTCTAGTTTGTGTGCATAGAGATGTTCATAGTAGTCTCAAATAATTATTTTTGTATTTTTGTGGTGTCAGTGATAATGTCTCCATTTTCATTTCTAACTGAGCTTATTCGTATCTTTTCTCCTCTTTTCTTGGTTAGTCTGGGTAGTGGTCTATCAGTCTTGTTTATCTTTCAGAGAACAAAATTTTATTTCTTTGATCTTTTTTATTGTTTTCATTTTCAGTTTTATTTAGTTCTGTTCTAATCTTTGTTATTTCTTTTCTTCTGTTAGCTTTGAGTCTGGTTTGCTCGTTCTTTAGTTCCCTGAGGTGTGACATTAGTTTGTCAATAGGTAATCTTTCTGACTTTTTGATATACGCATTTAGTGATATAAGCTTTCTTCTTAGCACTGCTTCTGCTGTATCCCAGAGGTTTTGATGACTTGTGTCACTGTTATCAGTAATTTCTTAAAAATTTTAAATTTTTGTCTTGATTTTATTGCTAACCCCCAAATAATTAAAGAGCAGATTGTTTAATTTCCATGTATTTGTATAGTTTTGAGGGTTCCTTTTGGAATTGATTTCTAGTTTTATTCTGCTATGGTTTGAGATGATGCTTTATATGATTTTGATTTTTAAAAAATTTATGAGACTTGTTTTGTGGCCTAGCATATGGTCTATTGTCAAGAATTTTCCACATACTGATGAGAAGAATGTATATTTTGCAGTTCTTGGTTAGGGTGTTCTGTAAATATCCATTAGGTACATTTGATCTAGAGTTCAGTTTAAGTCCACTTTTTCTTTGTTAACTTTCTGCCTCAATGATGTGTATAGTGTGCCGGTGAAGTGTTGAAGTCTTCCAATCTTATTGTGTTACTGTCTATCTCTTTTCTTAGGTGTAGTGGTAATTATTTTATGGAATCTGGGAGCTCTGAAATTAGATGCACATACACTTAGGATTGTTATGTCTTCTTGTTGACTAGATCCTTTTTCATTGTATAATGATCTTCTTTGTCTTTTTCTACTGCTGTTGCTTTAATATATGTTTTATTTGATATAACAATAACTGCTGTTGCTGTCTTTTGGTTTCCATACGTGTGGAATTTTGCTTTTACCTTTTTACCTTGAGTCTATAAGAATCTTTACATGTTAGGTGTTTCTCTTGGAGACAGCAGATATTTGACTTGTGATTTTTTTTAATCCATTTTGCCAATCTATATCTGATAAATCAGGCATTTATACCATTTACATTCAAAGTTAATATTGAGATGTGATGTACTTTACAAACATGATGTGGAATGTTACCTGCTTTGTTATATTCATTGTGTTATTGTTTTATACGCCTTGTGAATTTCATTATTTAAAGTGTGCCTATTCTGGTGCATATAAACCTTTTGTTTCAAGTGTTAGAGCTCCTTTTTAGCATTTCTTCTAGGGCTGGTCTAGTAATGATAAATTCCCTTAACATTTTCTTATCTGAGAAAGGCTTTCTACTTTATATCTCTCCTTTATGAATCTCCCAGGAGTTCTTTGAGCTTCTTGTATTTGGATGTCTAAATCTCCAGCAAGGCCAGGACAGTTTTCCTTAATTATTCCCTCAAAAACGTTTTTCAAATTTTTTTCTTTTTTTTTCCTCTCCCTCAGGAACACCTGTGATTCTTAGGTTTGAACATTTTACATAGGCCTATATTTCTTCAAAACGTTGTTAATTTATTCTAATTTTCTTTTTTCTGATTGGGTTAATTTGAAATCCTGTCTTCAAGCTCTGAAATCATTTCTCCTACACCATCTAATCTATTCTTAAAACTTTCCACTGCATTTGGTAACTCTCTAAAGGGATCTTTCATTACCAGAATTTCGAATTGGTTTTTCTTTATAATAGCTATCTCTTTAGAAAACTTTTTATTTGTATCCCAAATTGTTATTTTTTTATGTTGGTTTTCAACTTTCTCTTGTATCTCATCAAGTAACTTAATAATCAGCCTTTGGAATTCTTTATCTGGTATTTAAAAGATTTCATTTTGGTTTGAATCCATTGCTGGAGAGTTAAAGTGATCTTTTGGGAGTGTTATAGAACTCTGTTTCTTCATATAGCCAGAAGTCTTTTTCTGGTTTCTTCTCCTTTGGGTAGACTATTTGTTCTAATTAACTTTTGAATTGTTTTTTCATTTTTCCTACCTGAAAATGTGACTTTAACGTTTATAGCTTATTTTTACCTAGGTTCTTCTCTGGGTGCTTTCAGTGGCAAAGACTGTATGAATTTCTGGATTATATATAATCTTTGTGTGATTAGTGATGTATTGGGTATGGGAGCAGCTTCACTGCCTCAGTCTTCTGCCTAGGTTACAATGCAGATTCCTGCCTACTGCTTCTTGCAAAGAGTCTATGGTTTCTTACAGTTTTTCTGTTGGGTTCCTGTGTTGCTTCTTGGATAAACATTTGCAGCAGGAATCTTTACACACTATTTTGTCTTTCAAGTAGGAGAGGCATGCCAAGAAAGCCTCTAATCAGCCACCTGGAAGAACCAATGCCCCTGCTATTTGTTTTTTGTTTGTTCCATCTATTTTTGCTCCTCTGTCCTTCTATCCTGCCTTCTTTTGTGTTTATTGTATATTTTTTATAATTCTAAATATCTCTATTGTTTTTTCAGCTATTGTCTATTTTATGATATTTTTACAAGTGGTTTTGGTAGTGATTAAAACCTATAGTAATACACAATTTTATATAGTGTAAGAATTTTGGATTAAACATTTTCTTTTCTTCCCCCCACTCTTTAAGCTATTTATTATGTGTTACATATACATATACAATATACTCTACCCTAGAGTGTTATAATTTTCACCTTAAAATTATATGCATTTTAAAGAAATTAACAGAAAAATCTATTCTTTTTTATTTACCTATATTTACTATTTATCATACTCTTTCATTCTTTCCACAACTCTGAGTTTATAACAACTCAGATGTTACCATCTATCTTCAATATAAAGTACTTCCTTTGTCATTTACTTTAATGCTAGTCTGCTGGTAATTAAGTCTCTTAGGTTTGTTTTTGCTTTTCCAAAAATGCCTTTATGTTACCTCTGGGATAATTTCACTTGATACGAAATTCCAGATTGACTGATTTATTTTCTTTCAGCACTTTAAAGATATATCCTCACTGTCTGCTGGCCTCCACTCTTTGTGATAAAATGTTAGCCATCACTGACATCAATGTTCCCATGCATAAATGCTCGGTTTTTTGTTTTGTTTTGTTTTCCTGCAGCTGCATTGAAGACTTTTTTTTTCTTTATCTTTTCAATAGTTTGGTCATCATACACCTAGGGGTTTTTCTTTGTATTTATCTTACTGGAGTAGTCCGAACTTCTTGCTTCTTTTTTTTTTTTTTTTTTTAATACTTTAAGTTCTAGGGTACATGTGCACAACGTGCAGGTTTGTTACATAGGTATACATATGCCATGATGGTTTGCTGCACCCATTAACTCATCATTTACATTGAGCATTCCTTGTTTCTTTATGCCTTTTAATACATTTTGGAGGGAAATTTTGGACATTATCGTTGAAAATATTTTTCTGCCACATTCTTCCTATTTCACTTTTCCTTCCGAGGCTCCGATTATGTATATGGTAAACTTTTTGATACTCAACCACAGGTCACTGAAGTTCCCATTATGTTATTTTGCAATTAGTATCTATTTTTCAGATTAGATCATTTTTGTTAATCTGTTTCAAATTCCTTGATTTTTTCTTCTGTCATATTCACTGTGGTATTAAACCAAACCAGTGAATTTTGTTTTGTTTGTACTTTTCAGTTCCAGAATTTAGAGTATGCTTGTTTCTTACCACTTTTATTCCCATGCTGAGATTCTCTACTTGTTCATAATTTTGAGCACACATTTTCTTTGCCTCATTGAGCATAGTCATATGGCCATTTTCAAATTCCTGTCTTCTAAGTTTAATATCTTAGTCATCTCAGACTTTTAGTTTATATTGATTTTCTTTTCTCTTAAGTATGAATCATACTTTCTGTTTCTTCAAATATGTAGTAATTTTTAATGTTATATTTATTGGATACTGTGATTGATGTATTACAGACATTATGAATTGTATTATAATCATTATAATATTCTTTTTTTTTTTGAGATGGAGTCTCCTTGTCACCCAGGCTAGAGTGCAATGGTGCCATCTTGGCTCACTGCAACCTGCCTTTCCCAGGTTCAAGTGATTCTCCCACCTCAGCCTCCCAAGTAGCTGGGTTTACAGGCACCCACCATCACACCTGGCTAATTCTTGTATTTTTGTAAAGACGGGGTTTCACCATGTTGGCCAGGCTGGTCTTCAACACCTGACCTCAGGTGATCCACCCGCCTCGGCCTCCCAAAGTGCTGGGATTACAGGCGTGAGCCACAGCACCTGGCCTTATAATCTTCTTAATAATGACCATTTTTATTTCTTTGCTTTAGCAGTTAACTTGGCTGAATTCTAACTCTAAGCTGTGTCCCCACTGTGATGAGTCATAGTGACAATTTCCGTTCAGTTCTTTTAGATTTGGATAGCTTCTTGTAATGTGCCTTGTGCATTCATAGTTCAGGGATCAGGCAGAGATTTAAGCAGAGTTAATAAATCAGCTTTGGATCTTCTCAAGTGAGGCTCCCTGCTTCTCAGAATTTCTACTTTACTTTCTAGCTGTGATGATAACCCAGAACCTTGTCTCTGATTTTTCATGCCAGTAACACTTCAGCTTTCTAGTCAAGTTTGCACAAACCAATGCAGCATGCATGTTACTATGCTCTGCCTCCAGGCAAAAAAAGAAAAAAATCATAAAATGGGACACTCACCCAGTATTTTATTCTTCAAATGTTGACTCCCTCTGGCTTTTATCTGCTTTTGCCAGCTCAAGGGTGCTTTCAACTATTATTGTTTTGATAATTATTTATCAAAATAGTTGTTTTGATAACAACTATTATTGTCTGAGTTTATAAGAGTTGCATTTTCTTACTGATATATATATATATTTTTTTTTATGGAGTCTCACACTGTTGCCTGGGCTGGAGTGCAGTGGCGCGATCTCCGCTCACTGCAACCTCCGCCTCCCAGGTTCAAGCAATTCTCCTCGCCTCAGCCTCCCAAGTAGCTGGGATTACAGGCGCCCGCCACCACCCCCCTGCTAATTTTTTTTTTTGTATTTTTAGTAGAGTTGGGGTTTTACCATGTTGGCCAGGCTGTTCTCCAACTCCTGACCTCGTGATCCACCCACCTCGGCCTCCTAAAGTGCTGGGATTACAGGCGTGAGTCACTGCGCCTGGCCAAGAAATTTAAAAATCATTTTTATATGATTTGTGTGATGTGCACTCATTTAAATTTCTGTGTTATAACTGATATTTTTGGTTTCAGTTATTTAATACTAACTTATATTTATTTTGTATAATGTTTTATATTTGCAATGTTACTTTCTTTTCGTGGCCTTATTTTACTTTTACTCTTTTTGGAAGTAAAGAAAAGTTTTATTTTTGTTCACATATTTAGCTTGATATTTATATCTTTTGTAATGCCTATTGTTTCTTATTTATCACTTAACTATTTGGCTTTTACCTTTAATTATTTTCATTTTATTTCTAAATATTAATATGGCATAATCAATATATTCATTCTTTTTTTATCTTCTACTTTTTAGTTGCATTATCTCTGTATTGACAGAACATACACTATTCATACAATTTTTGCTTGTCACCCTTTTGCTTTAAAAAACACATGGAGAAACATTCTACATGTGCCATTTATATAGTGAATATACATAAAATTATAGGACAAAATTAAAATCAGATACATCAGTCATATCACACCATTGCAATGGTCATGATTAGTTCTTTTGCCAAAGTCTCCCCAGAAATGATTTGGTTAGGTTAGAACTTATATCCTAGTAGAATCCTCAAAAAGGGCTTTTGAATATAGTATCCCCTGGTTCTTGCAAGTTATATCTGATTTGTCGCTTTAATATTTTATGATAGCTTGGCTATATAAAACATCATTTAGTTTACACTTTCTCTCTTAAAATTTCTGAAAAAAATGCTATGTCCTGCTGTTTTGTTTTGTATATGTTTATTATGAAACCTGATGGCAATATTACCTTTCATCTTTTAGTATATGATTTGATCTTTCTACAGTCCTGAGATTTTGTTTACTTTTGTTTTTCTTTAATATTATTTTCTAAACATTGTATTGTTTTATGTTTTGAATTTCTTTCATTATTTTTCCCCAGAAATATTGGGCCCTTAAAATAAGTAAATATAGCCTTTTGATATAAAAAATGTTTCTGAAAAATAATTTTAAAAATAATTGTATTCTATTGTTATCTTTTTCAAAAATTAGGGACTCCAATTACATGTATTTTTTGTCTTCCTTTGCCTATCTCATTAGTCAATCAGTTTATCCTGATGCTTTTATACCTCTTTATTTAATGCCTTTATGTTATCTTTATAATTTTTATGACTTTTCTCAATATTCTTTGTCATAAAATCAATTTCACCTATTCCCTATTGGCTACCTTGTACTCTGTCTTCATTCCTTGTTGATTTTTTTCTTTTTCTTCAGTTTCATTCCTGATGGTCAATTTCTCTTTCAAAACTTCCTGATTTTTTTAAAATCTGTTTTTGTATTTCCAGTTTGTTTTAACATATCTCCAAATGCTTGTTTAATAATATTTAACTCAGGTTAGGAATGTCATATTATAGGTTCTTTCTGCTTCATGACTGTTTGGGAAATTTTTTATAAGCTCAAAATTTTGATTCTTATATTCCGTTTCTTACTATGTTGCTTTGTAGGGACACGGATGACCACTTGTTGATTTTGTAATATTTTATCCTCTGGGATGAGCAAGCACTGGTATGCAGACATGGCTGAAGAATTTTAGGTAGCTGACTACATTTTGTAGGCTGAGAATGTTCTTTTCTATTGCTATAGTGAAATACCGTCTTTTAGGATGGAGCAGTTCTGTTTTCTTGCTTTGAATTTAATTTTTTGCTTACTTGCTTGAGTGTACAGAGGAAAGCTAGTTTTATATACCCTTGATATTAAAAGAGATCTTGGCTACATATACAAACCTTGATATACACTTCCTTTTGTTGAGTTTCTTAATAATAATCTTTAAAATCTGCCTATTATTTTCATTTCCTTTTTTACTGGCAAGTCTCAAAACAATGGCTACCTTTTTCAAGTTTCTTCATTTTCACCAGAAGCAGTGCCTTCCTGAGCCTCCCACCTTGAGTCCTCCCCTCAGAATTGCTTTGAATTCTGCAATATTGAGTGCTCCGATCTACTGGTAACAAACCTGTCTCAAATATGTTTATGCTAAGTATAAGACTTTCTCTTTCTGGGAGTAATTCTGTCTGTGTTTCACTACTCTTTTTCCTATGTTTCTATGTCTTATTTCTACCTCTTTTACTTCACAACCATAGACTTATCTGTGGAATTTGGGTGTTTATTTTCCTACTTAAACATAACTTAATATTTGTAGTGTCCTCTATGTCCTAAATATGCCATAGACATGAGTCATATGTGGTTTATTTGCTTCTCTTTTTAATTTATTTGGAATTTTTTGATAATGTGTATACATTTTGATTTAAGCTATTGTTATCATCCTTTGAGATCTTGGAACTCCAAAAATTTCTTTTAAACTAGTTTTCATTAACTCTCATTAGAAACAGAAAAACCAGAGTTATAGTGATATAATAAGTCACAATGATAAGTCATAATTAAAATATGAAAATTCATATGGCTTGAACACAAATATTTAAAAGTGCCCCTATTACTGGACTCTATTTTCAAAAATGTTTAATATAAACCATCTCTGATAAACATACATCAGAAGGAAAATATTAGAAATTTAGAAGTTGTCTACTGAGTTCCTCTCAACAACATCAACAAAATATGTCTGTAGAGATTGAATAAAGCTCTAAAGTTTTCATGCCCCTCTAATACAGATATATATCTCTATAATTGTCATGGTTTCATGGTGAGTAGAGTATAATCTTTGAAATATAGAATTAATTAGTTATTAAGAAATAGCCTCTTTGCTTTAAGCTTGGCCAGTTGATTTATTTTGACAATAAGATGTTAGCATATTTGAATTAGCTAAATCTCTCTAGTCTGGACTAAAGACAACTGGAAGTGTCCAAGATGTAAAAGGTTGAAAGGTATTTACATATCTGGGTTTGCCTTCTTGAATTCTTGCCTTAGCCATAAGAAAATTATGACTAAAATAGCTGTTATTTCTATAGAGAATAAAAGTAACATTGCATAGACATGCATCTAATCTAAAACTTAAAGCCAAATTTAATCTAGATTAACTGAGTTTCAGATAACCCACAATGCATGGATGAGAAAGTATGCTATTGTTGTAAGCAAGTGAGGTTTGGGGTGGTTAGTTATGCAATGTCATTGTCACAGTTGTCAACAAAGAAAACAAAAAACTAAAATTGATGGCAGTAATTTTGGAACTGAGAAGCAGGTGGCAAGGGAACTATAATAGGAGGTTAGAAAAATGGTGAGTAAAGTCATAAAAAGTGGGGAAAATGTCAATCTATGCTATGCAGTGACTAAATATTTGGTAAAACTGTCATCCATGATAACAGACAGGACAGAAAATATATCTAATGAACTTGTCATATTGATTGAGGAGATTTTGAGGTCGACTGCTGTAATCCCAGGGTGGTTTCTTCAAGCTGCATTTGATTCTATAAGACAGGAAAGTATTATAAGACAGGAAAGAACTGGCCAGGGTCAGAGTAGAATTGAGAAAAACTATGAAGAGCCCAGAAATACTAGAACGTGTAAAATTGTCAAGTTAAACTGTTTTTCACCTTATTAAATACACGGTTATGAGGATATAGCCTTAGGAGAAAAAAATATTCTTTGGTTCTTCCAAAAACATATGGTCCTAGAGTATGACAAAATAGGCATGTGGTTTTAATACCATTTTTAAGACCTCTAAAAGGATTAGATGAACATCTTGTAGATCTTTTCAGCCAGAAAAAAACGAAGGGCTCCTAGGAGGTTGAAAGGTGTGGTCCCCTAGACATCTGATATCCTCAGGGAACCTATAATTTCAATTTAAGTGAGAGACATGTTTCAGAAGTAATTGTGGTTGTAGCTTTTGGAATATGACATTAAATACAATTAAATGTATAGAAAATTTACAATTTGTGAGAGAGTTGGATTAGCCAAATCTCTCTAGTCTGGACTAAAGGCAACTGAAAGTATTAAACATGTAGAAAGATCTTTGAGCTTACTACTCTCTTCAGGCAGAAAGCAGGTATAGACTTTTCTGCTCTGAAGTAAAGCACATTCTCCAATGTGTTTTCACAACATGAGATTTTTAGAAAAGAAAAAGGCTTAGGTGACAGAAAGGAGCTGTGGAGAGCAATGCACCAGGGAAACATTCCCAGAAATCAGACACATAGCCTAATCAAAAAACAAACAAACAAACAAACAACAACAAAAAACATTGCCTGTCCCCAAAATAGGGGAACTTGGCAATATTTGTCTAGCAGGAATACAAAATTTCTATAGACTATTTACTGATGTGTGCATTCTATTATTACTCTTTCTGAATGGGAATGTTTATTATGTTCTACCCTGTTCTACCATTATACTTTGCATTCTGGTGGACTTTGAATCAGTTCATAGATATCTGGATCACAAAAAACTACATGTAGACATATTGTAGGTCCTCTGTTCCTAGACCGTGAGTCTGCTGCCATTATTGAATGAATCTTTTAGGGGTGTTTGGGTAAGAATGAGTACATTTTTCCCATGGGTAATTTTGACCAACAAAAAAAAGTGTGAAAAATTGAATCATTACTCTTAATTATTAACTCTTCTGCAGTAATGGTGTATATCCACATTCCTGTCATGGTGGAAGCACTGTATTACCCAACTCTTGCTTTGGGTTTGATCTCATGACTGGCTTTGGCCATAAAATGTTAATGAATGTGACACCAGAAAAAATATAATTTTTTTTTTTTTGCACTTGAGCTTGCATTCTTATGCTCTTGCCTTTCACCTGTGAAGGCTATGACTGGTAGCCTTGGGTTTTAAGAAGGAATAAAGATACATGGAGATGATATAAACCCAACTTGTAGTTTGTTGTGAAATCCAATCAAGCCCAGCCAAGCACAACCAGGATCAACTGAACTTCAGATGCAGGAGTATAAAATGCTAATTTATTTGTCTATTTTTTGCAACTAAGTTTTGAGATTGTTTTTTACACAGCCTTATTATGGTAATATCTAAAGCAGTCACCCTTTTTTATTTAACCAAGCACTTTGATGAAGCTTTGAGAATGAAGAGAATGCTTATTGCATTGTCTAGAAGCAGAGTGTGCATAAATGAAGAAAAGGCTGAAATTCTTGGCATAAAAATTGGATATATATTTGCAAGGAAGACCAGAGAGAAAGAGATTAAGAGACTGAAGCAAACATGGAGGTAAATAAGAAATGAAATATCCTGAAATCAAATAACAACTGGATCTTCAGATTAAAAGTCTATACTGCTTTCTGGTTAAAAATCTCAAATCATAAGTAATATTTTGATAAACTTACCAAATGAAGTATACAATTATTTCTTCTTCTGACTAAAATAACACTCAAAGTTTTGAAATATACTTTGCAAAATATTCTAGTGGAGATTCTCCATCATAGCACCCTCAGTGCTCAGTGGAGAAAAGTCACAGAGCTAGGTCATCCAGAGCACAAAACCCCTCTGATGACACTGACAGGGCCAATTATGAGACTTGACTGTCAGACTAATCAGAGCTTATGATATTTTTCAAAGTGGAATAGCAAAGTATATAGGGTTTCCTTTTTAGTTGCTAAGCTTTGTATCTGGAGGCTAATACTCATATTCACAGTTTTCCTAAAGCTGTTCCCCTTCAACTTCTGCAAAATAAGGGAAACATGACAAATGCAAACATTGACAAATAAAAAATATAAGGCAGTAAAAAAATATTTTTAAAAAGAAAAGGAAATTCCAAGGACTAGTTTGTAAAAAGAAAAATGAACAAAATGGATAAACAAAAGCCACCATACCTAACAACAAATAATAAAATGAAGCACTTTCAAGCATTTGTAATACTGATGGTCCATGTGTAATACACTAGGAGAAACATATTCACAGACAAAAAAGATAAGCCTTCAAGTATATTTTGTGAAACCAATATATCAGCCATCTCCCAAATGTGAAAAAAGCAACACATTGAAAGAGAAAAACAAAATTCAATATTGCTGAAGAATAGGTATGCAGAACTCTTTGGTTAAATAGTTTTATAAAGAACTAAGCAGTATATAAAAATATCAACTAACTTAGCCATGTGGTGTTTATAGAGCAAGAATTTTAAAAAATTTGTTTAAGTGATTCCAATATGAGTTAGACAAAATTTTTAAAAACATTATGACTATACAAGTAGTTTATGCAAGAGCATGTAACAGAATAATACCAAAATAGATAGTTCCTTGACATAATAAATGTGATTAAATTGTAGCCAGCCACCATTCTGTCCAATTGTAGAAACCTAGGATTCCCTTTGAAGTTAGGACAACCACACGAACCTACCCTCAATACTGTTACTTAACAATACTTTGAAAGTACTAGCCTTATTCTGGAGATTAAATATAAGTAAGTAGGGATATTTTTATTTATTATTTGCTATTAACATGATGTTTTGACTGAAAAAATGAAGAGAAGTCACTGAGAAAACATGTACAGGAAAAATATGATTTCATTAAGTTGGTGTGGTCAAAAAATTAATGTACAAATTCTAATACCTTTTGTTGCAAAATGTAAAAAAAAGACTATGTAAAGCTATCATAACCAAAATATACAACTAGGAATAATCTTACATGATATTTATAATAATAAAAAAAAATTACTGAAGGACATACAGGAATATTTAAATAAATGTAAAAATACAATGTATTTTGCGAAGAAAAAAACTGGAAAAACTCAATACTTTAAAACTAAAACTACCTATCCTTCTCGAATTTATCTAGAAATTCTATGTGGGCTCATTTGAAACATTAATGGAAATGTTTTTTGTTATTTTCCCCCCTGAAACTTGAAAAAGATTGATACTAAATTAAATCTAAAAGATGGAGAAAGAACCATAAATTATTATAAAAGATAGAGAAATGAGAGCAGAGTATCCTTAAAATTGGTAGAATTATTACTTTGTATAAAATTATATGTGGCCTATAATATTTTATGGAATATAACATGATATAATGAGGTATAATACAAATCTGTATATGTACGGGAATTTTATTTCAGAAGTTAATGACATCAATAGGAAGGCAAAACAAAATTTTCAAGTATTTGTACCCTTATAGAAGAATCAATTTGAACAACTGTTCATACTCAAAAATACCCTCACAAGAGCTAAGAAATCCCTATGAGAGCCAGGAGCTATCAACCCAGCCTCCAGTCCAGACATCATAGCCCCCCCTGTCACAAAGTCACCACTCATGTGCCTAGCCTCAAGGTCCACTCTAGCATGATGTTGGACTCTACAGATCCAGCTTTCATGATGGTCTCTTCAGTCATAGGCTCCAGGTTGAGCCCTGACAGTCCCATGTTTCAGGCCTGCGCCCCAGCCAGACCACATTCCACAGCCTTGAAGTCCAGGCAGATAATTGTGAACACAGCCTTCAGGTCTTCACTAGCATAAGAGTGGCACCCACAAATCCCAGTTCCAGATTTCCCCGTGCAGCCCTAGATACCACACATGCCCCAGCTTCCAGATTGCCCTCTACACCCTCACATCAGTTGAGCCATGGCTCAGGCCCACCTTAGCAGTAGGCCAGCCCCCACAGACTCAGGCTCAAGTTCTGCTTAAGCACCAGTCTGGCTTCCGTGGACCCAGGCTTTAAGTTATCTCCCACTGACACACAGGCTCCAGGTCTGCCCCAGCAGACTAAAGGCCTAGGACTATGGCAGTGAATACAGAAGCTCTAGACCCAACCTCAGTGACCCAGGAAACAGATCTGGCCCCTGTGGGCACTGCAAGCAAGCCTTTCCACCTGTTTATATAGGTACCAGGCCAGCCTTCCCAAGGATTTCAGCAACAAGCCTGCCTGCAAACCCTACCAGACAGGCCACAGACAATCACTTGATGAGCTGACTGGTGAAGAGCTTTGCTGCAGAGACCATTCTGTAAACGCTGGAATAGTACCTGCTACTTCAAATGCACAGACACTAATAAATGGCCACAAGGATTATGAATAATTAGGGAAGCATAATAACATCAAAAGAACAAAATAAATACCAGTAACTGATTCCAAAAATGGAGATTTATGAACTGTCTGACAAAGAACTCAAAAGAAATGTCTTGAAGCTCAGTGAGCTACAGAGACACAGACACAGAACACAGAACAGAGATGAAATAAAATCAGGAAACTAATATATGAACAAAACGAGAAGTTCAACAAAGAGATAGACCCAAAGAGACAGTAAAAAAAAGCACTGAACAAATTCTGGAACTAAAGAACACAGTCAACTGAACTGAAAATGCCTATAGAAAGCTTCAACAATGGCTTCAACCAAGCAGATAATTAATGAGCTTGAAGATTTGCCATTTAAATTATCTAGTCAGAAGAACAAAAAGTGAAAAAGAATAAAAAAGAGTAAAAAAAACCCTGCATGATTTATGGATGACCATCAAATGAAACAATCTATGAATTATGGAAATTTCAGAAGAAGCAGAGAAAAAAGATGGGTAGAAAGCTTATTTAGAGAAATAATGACAAAACTTTATAATTCTGGAGAAAGAATTAAACATCTAGATTGATGAAGTCAAAATAATCCCAGATAGGTTAAGTATAAAGAAATCTTCACTCAAATACATTTATACTCAAATTCTCAACAGTCAAAGATAGCAGCACCAGAAAATTGATTCATCACATACCACAGAAACTCTATGAGACCTTCAGTGGATTTCTCAGGAGAAGCCTTTCAGGTCAACAGGTAGTGGAAAGATATGTTTAAAGTGCTGGAAGAAAGAAACCTGCTATACAAGAATACTATATTCAGCAAGGCTGTCCTTTAGAAACGAAAGAGAAATAAGGACTTTCCCAGACAAACAAGACCTGTGAGAGTTTATCACAACTAGGCCTGCCTTAAAAGAAATACAATGAGTTCTTTACATTGAAATGAAAGGACACTAACAATACAAAACATACATAAAATTTAAGACTTACTATAGAGGTATACTCTAGCAAATTTGGAATTCTCTAATACTATAATGGTGGTATATAAATCACTTTTAGTATAAAAGTTAAAAGACAAAAGTATCAAAATTACTAAGTTTCAATAAGTTAATGAATATATGGTATATAAAAGATGCACATTGTGATATTAATAACATAAAATCTGAGGAGAGGAGAAATTAAAGTGCAGAGTTTTTGTATGTGGTTTAAGTTCTTATCAACTTAAAATAGACTGTTACTACTGTAAGATATTTTACTTAAGCTTCATGGTAACCACAAAGATAAAAACCACACAAAAAAGATAAAGGAATGAAGGCATAACTCTGTAAAAATTAATCAATCACAAAGGAAGAAAGCAAGAGAGGAAGAATGGAACAAAATAACTACACAATAGTCAAAACAATTAACAAAATGGCAGCAGTAAGTCCTTTCCTATTAATAATTACTTTAAATGTAAATGAACTAAATTCTCCACTCGAAAGACATTGTGGCTGAAGGGATAAAAACAAGATGCAACCATATACTTCCTATAAGAGACTCACTTTAGCTTTAAGGACACACGTAGGCAAAAAGTGAAGGGATGGAAAAAATATTTCATGCAAATGTTAACCAAGAGACAGCAGGGATGGTTATACTTATTTAAGACAAAACAGACTTTAAGTCAGGAACTGTTACAAGACATGAAGATGTAATTATATAATGATAAGGATGTCAATCCATCAAGAGGATATAACAATTGTAAATATACATACACAACACAAGAGAACCTTAATACATAGAAAATATTAACGGAAATTAAGAGAGAATTAGACAGTAATACAATAATAGTAGGGGATTTCACTATTCATTTCAACAATGGGTAGGTGATGCAACAGAAATTCAGTAAGGAAACAGGAGAGTTGAACAACACTGTCAACCAATTAAGTCTAACAGACATATAGAGCACACCAAACATTCCAACCAATGACAGCAAAATACATATTCTTTTCAAGTGCATATGCAACATTCTCCAGGGCAGATCTTATGTTAGAACACAAAACAAGTTTTAACAAATTAAAGATTGAAATTACATCAGGTATCTTTTCAGGTCACAATGATATGAAACTAGAAATTACTAACAGGAGGAAAATTGGAAAATGTACATCTATGTGGAAGTTAAACAACACAATTCTGAACAAAAAAAATGGGACAAAGAAGAAATAAAATGAAAAATTAGAAAATAACTTTAGACAAATTAAAGTGGAAACACAGTGTACCAAAACTTATGTGATATAGCAAAAGCAGTTCTAAGAGAAAATTTTATAGCAATAAGTCCCTAAAATAAGAAAGAAAAAGCTCTCAAATAAACAACCTAACTTTACAACTAAAAGGACTAGAAAAATTAAAACTTAAGCCCAAATTAGAAGAAGAAAAATTATATAAAAATAGATACTAGGATGATGACAAAAAAGATTAATAAAACTAAAATTTGGTGTTTTGAAAATATTTTTAAAAATGAGAATCCCTTGATTAAGAATAAAAGAGAAGACTCAAAATCAGAAAAGGGGAGAAATTACATTACAAGTAACACATAAAAACATTATAAGATGTATGCACAAAAATGAAAAATAAAAGTTTAATGATAAATAAATTTCATTAGAACTTGAATATATATATATATATATATATATATATATATGTATGTATGTATTTTGGTACCACCATGAACAATCAGATGTAACAAATTGGACAACCTAGAAAAAAATGGATAAATTCTTAGAGACATACAACCTACAAAAAATGAATCAAAATGAAATAGAAAGCTTGAAAAGACCAACACATAAAGAGATTGAATCAGTAATCAAAATCTTTAACACAGAAAAGTCCAGGACTTAATTAATTCATAGGTTAATTCCATGAAATACTTAAAGAAAAATTAACATTAATACTTTTTAAACGCTTCCAAAATAATAGAATGAAGGAGAACACTTCCAAACTCTTTTTATGATAAAAAAAAATCACCTTGATACAAAGACCAGGCAAAGACACTACAATGAAAACAAACTATAAGCCAATATCCTTGATGAACATGGATTCAGTATTTTCCACAAAATACTAGCAAACTGAATTCAATAGCATATTACAAGAATCCTTCACTATGACCAACTGGGATTTATCCCCGGGATGGATGGATGATAGCTCACAAACAAATTAATAAATGACTCATTATTTTAACAGAATGAAAGATAAATATCATATAATCATCCCAATAGATGGTGAACAAGCATTTTACAAAATTCGGTATCTTTTCAAGATAAAAATTCTCAACATACTACATAGAGAAGAAATGCATTTCAACATAATAAAGACCATATATGACAAACCCACAGCTAGCATCATACTCAATAGTGAAAAACTGAAAACGATTACTCTAAGATTTACGAAAAGACATCTTTGTGATGTCTTTGCCTGGTTTTACTCTCACCACCTCTATGTAATATACTACTGGAAAGCTTACCTAGAACAATTAGGTAACAAAAATGAATAACACTATTTAAATTGGAAAGGAAGAAGTACAGTTGTCTCTGTTTATAACTGACAAATCTTATATGAAGACAATCCTAAAGACTTCATCAGAAAACTGTTAGAACTAAAAGCAAGCAGTAAAGATTTTACTCTCACCATATCTATGTAATATACTACTGGAAAGCGTACCTAGAACAATTAGATAACAAAAATGAATAACACCATTTAAATTGGAAAGGAAGAAGTACAGTTGTCTCTGTTTATAATTGACAACTCTTATATGAAGACAATCCTAAAGACTTCATTAGAAAACTGTTAGAACTAAAAGCATTCAGTAAAGTTGCAGGATACAAAATCAGCAAGCATACAAAAATCGGTAGTTTTTTATACTAACAAAGAACTATATGAAAAATAACAATTAAAAATCTCATTTATAATAGCAAAAAAAGAAACTTACATTTAGGAATGAACGCAACAAAAAAGAGGTGAAACATCTATGTACTGATAACTACAAAATAGTGATGCAAGCAATTGGAGAAGACACATACAAATGAAAAGATACCCCAAGTTCATGAATTGGCAGTATTATTATTGTTACAATGCCCATACCACCTAAATTCACCTATGGATTCAAGGCAATTCTTATAAAAATTCCAATGACATTTTTTACGGTATTAGAAAACACAATCTTAAAATATATAGAGAGCCACAAAAACCCTGAGTAGCCAAAGCAATTTTTTAGCAAAAGAATAAAGCTAGAGATATTACACTACCTGACACCAAAGGATGTTACAAAGTTATAGTAATCATAACAGCATGATGCTGGCATAAAAACAGACATAGAGACCAATGGAGCAGAATAGAGAGCCAAGAAAAAAAATCCACAAGTTAATGGCCAATTGATTTACAGTCATGCCAAGAACATACCTCAGGAAAAGACAATCTCTTCAATAAATGGTGTTGGACAACTGGATATACACATGTATAATAACGAAATGAAACTCTTTTTCAAAACCATATACAAAAATCAACTTCAAATGTATTAAAAACTTAAGTATAAAACTAAAAACTGTAAAACTACCAGAAAAAAATATAGGGCAAAGATTGACATTGATTTGGGCAATACATTTTGGTTATGACTCCAAAAACACAAGCATCAGAAGCACCAACAGACAAACGGGATTTCATCAAACTAAAATCTCCTGCACAGCAAAGGAAACAATAAACAGAATGAAGAGACAATCTACAAAATGGTAGACAATGTTTGGAAACCATGTATCCAATAAGGGGTTAATATCCAAAATATATAAGAACTTCAAATAGCTCAATTGCAAGAAAACAAATAATGAAATGATAATATGGACAAAGGACCAGAATAGACATTTTTCAAAAGAAGACCTACAAATGGCCAGCAGATATCTGAAAAAATGCTCAACATCACTAATAATCAGGGAAATGCAAATCAAAACCACAATGAAACACCAGTTTGCACCGGTTAAAATGGCTTTTAATAAAAATACAAAAGTTACCTAGTATTAGAGAGGATATAGAGAAAAGGGAACCCTTGTATACTGTTGGTGGGAGTGTATATGGGTAGCCATTATGAAAACTAGTATGGAGGATCCTGAAAACAATAAAAATAGAACTACTTTATGATCAGCAATTCCACTTATGGGTGTATATCCAAAGGAAATGAAATTAGTATCTTGAAGCGATATCTACACCCCTATATTCATGGCATGGTTATTTACAATAATCAGGATGTAGGATCAATGTATGTGTCCATCAATGGATCAATGGATAAAGAAAATGTGGTATATGTATATATAAATATGTGTGTATGTGCACAAGCCTGTGTGTGTATATGATGGAGTACACTTCAGCCTTTAAAAAGAAAGAAATCCTCTCATTTGCAACAACATGGATGAAGGAGGACATTATGCTAAGTAAAACAAGTCAGGCATAGACAAATACCGCATTCTCTCATATAAGGAATCACAAAAAGTCAAACCATAGAAGCAGAGAATAGAATGGTGGTTGCCGGGAGGAGGGGTGGGTGGGGAATGAGGGGTTGTTGGACAGATGATACAAAGATTCATGAGAAAGGATGAATATATTCTGAAGATCTGTTGTACAGCCTAGTGACTATAGTTAATTATAAGATATTGTGTTTTTGAAAACTTTTGAGAGTAAATGTTAAATGTTCTTACCACAAAAAATAACAAGAATGTGAAGTGATGGGTAGGTTAATTAACTTCGTTTAATCATTTCACAACGTATACCTGTAACAAAACATCACATTTTATGCTGTAAATATATGTGATTTTATTTGTCAATTATACCTCAATATAGCTAGGGAAAAGTAAAAATAAGTTGAAAAATAAATTAAGCCAGACACAAAAGAAAAAAAAGGGGAATTTTGTTTCAAGAAAGCTGAAAAATCTGTGTATATAGTAGTTAATAAGTAGGATGGATGAGGAGATGAGACTTTCAGTTTTATTATTTGAACTCTTTTACTATGAACCGGCATTACTTTCAAGAGGCAATAGACGGTGAGGCATGGTGGCTCAAGCCTGTAATCCCAGCACTTTGGGAGGCTTAGGCCAGGAGTTTGAGACCAGCCTGGCCAACATGCTGAAAAATCTGTCTCTACTAAAAATACAAAAATTAGCCGGGCGTGTTGCAGTGAGCCAAGATCATGTCACTGCACTCCAGCCTGGGTGACAGAGTCCAGAGGTAGATGATCATATGGGTTCAATTTGTGATTTCATAATTTACTATTTGTATAGCTTTGGAAAAATCATTTAATCTCTTTGATCCTCAGTTTGATTATCTGTAAAATAGTAATAATAGTAAATAATCATAATATAAAACTCAGATGGTTTATATTATATTGAGGTTAGAATTATATTATCCAATGTAGGCATGGTGGCTCACGCCTGTAATCCCAGCACCTTGGGAGGCCAAGGCAAGCAGATCACCTGAGCTCAGGGGTTCGAAACCAGCTTGTCCAACATGGTGAAGCTCCCTCCACTCTAAAAACAAAAATTACCTGGTCGTGGTGACACATGCCTGTAATCCCAGCTACCAGGGAGGCTGAGGTGGGAGAATTGCTTGAACCTGGGAGGTGGAGGTTGCAGTGAGCCAAGATCGTACCATTGTCCTCCAGCCTCCATGACAAGAACAAAACTCTGTCTCCAAAAAAGAAAAAAAAAATTACGTTATCCAACACTTTAAAGCACAATGTGAGAAACACTGAGAAGTTTCAATAACTGCTGATTGCTATTATTATTTTTATAATTATCATTATCTTCACTGTTTTAAAAAATATTTATAAAGTTTATATATATATCCAGATTTAAGAGCACCATTTTAATGTTTTGATAAATTTATACAAAGCTACCACAATTAAAAACAGAAAATTTGCATTACCACCAAGAAATTCGCTACTACCCTTTCTTTCAATCCCTATAGGGATACACTATTCTAATATATAATATTTTGTTACAGGCACATGTTTTCTTTTCTTTTTTTTTTTACTGTAAGAATATTTATTAGAGAATTGCTGTGGTAACGAAAACTTGAAAATCACCTATCTTGCCATCATCAGGGTACTGGCTAAATAATATACGATACACATCCATATAACAGAATATTGATGAGTCATTAAAAGAAATTAAGTGTGTATGTGTGTGTGTGTTTGTGTGTGTATGTATATATATATAAAATGCCCAAAGAAAATTACAGAACAATATGGACAATATAATTCTTTTATGAAGAAGAAAATACAAATAGAAAACATTAATGTTAATATATTAAAATTAATAGTGTTACATCTATTAGTGAAAATTATGTATGCCTTGAGTAAATCATAAGAATGAATAATAACCTTAGTAATCTTCTGTACGGTTAAAAAATTTTTTCCAACAAATGTATTTCTCTTACAATTATTTTTATTTTTTTTATTATACTTTAAATTTTAGGGTACATGTGCACAATGTGTGCAGGTTTGTTACATATGTATACATGTGCCATGTTGGTGTGCTGCACCCATTCACTCGTCATTTACATTAGGTATATCTCCTAATGCTATCCCTCCCCCCACCCCACAACAAGCCCTGGTGTGTGATGTTCCCCTTCCTGTGTCCATATGTTCTCATTGTTCAATTCCCACTTATGAGTGAGAACATGCGGTGTTTGGTTTTTTGTCCTTGTGATAGCTTGCTGAGAATGATGGTTTCCAGCTTCATCCATGTCCCTACAAAGGACAGAAGCATGAGTGAACTCCCATTCACAATTGCTTCAAAGAGAATAAAATACCTAGGAATCCAACTTACAAGGGATGTGAAGGACCTCTTCAAGGAGAACTACAAACCACTGCTCAACAAAATAAAAGAGGACACAAACAAATGGAAGAACATTCCATGCTCATGGGTAGGAAGAATCAATATCATGAAAATGGCCATACTGCCCAAGGTAATTTACAGATTCAATGCCATCCCCATCAAGCTACCAACGACTTTCTTTACAGAATTGGAAAAAACTATTTTAAAGTTCATATGGAACCAAAAAAGAGCCCGCATTGCCAAGTCAATCCTAAGCCAAAAGAACAAAGCTGGAGGCATCACACTACCTGACTTCAAACTATACTACAAGGCTACAGTAACCAAAACAGCATGGTACTGGTACCAAAACAGAGATATAGATCAATGGAACAGAACAGAGCCCTCAGAAATAATGCCACATATCTACAACTATCTGATCTTTGACAAACCTGAGAAAAACAAGCAATGGGGAAAGGAGTCCCTATTTAATAAATGGTGCTGGGAAAACTGGCTAGCCATATGTAGAAAGCTGAAACTGGATCTCTTCCTTACACCTTATACAAAAATTAATTCAAGATGGATTAAAGACTTAAATGTTAGACCTAAAACCATAAAAACCCTAGAAGAAAACCTAGGCATTACCATTCAGGACATAGGCATGGGCAAGGACTTCATGTCTAAAACACCAAAAGCAATGGCAACAAAGCCAAAATTGACAAATGGGATCTAATTAAACTAAAGAGCTTCTGCACAGCAAAAGAAACTACCATCAGAGTGAACAGGCAACCTAAAGAATGGGAGAAAATTTTTGCAATCTACTCATCTGACAAAGGGCTAATATCCAGAATCTACAATGAACTCAAACAAATTTACAAGAAAAAAACAAACAACCCCATCAAAAAGTGGGCGAAGGACATGAACAGACACTTCTCAAAAGAAGACAGTTATGCAGCCAAAAAACACGTGAAAAAATGCTCATCATCACTGGCCATCAGAGAAATGCAAATCAAAACCACAATGAGATACCATCTCACACCAGTCAGAATGGCGATCATTAAAAAGTCAGGGAATAACAGGTGCTGAAGAGGATGTGGAGAAATAGGAACACTTTTACACTGTTGGTGGGACTGTAAACTAGTTCAACCATTGTGGAAGTCAGTGTGGCGATTCCTCAGGGATCTAGAACTAGAAATACCATTTGACCCAGCCATCCCATTACTGGGTATATACCCAAAGGATTATAAATCATGCTGCTATAAAGACACATGCATACGTATGTTTATTGTGGCACTATACACAATAGCAAAGACTTGGAACCAACCCAAATGTCCAACAATGTTAGACTGGATTAAGAAAATGTGGCCCATATACACCATGGAATACTATGTTACAGGCATATGTTTTCTAAATTCTTCTATAGAAGGGTAGTTTTGCCTATTCTTCAACTTTGTATAATGTGTGCTTTTGTTTCTGACTTTTATCTCAATATATATTTCAGATCCATCTATGTTTTTGCATGTAACTGTAGTTTCGCTTCTTTTTATCTTTAGTAGTATCATTTTACATAAATATTACCCAATGTATTCCTTATTTTATTAATTAACATTTGAGTTGTTTCCATTTTGGAACTATTATGGAGAAAGACACTATAAGCCTATTATATACACAGCTTTTGTGAACGTGCGTTTTCATTTTCTTTTCCTTACTCAGGAGTGGAGTAGAATAGCTGTGTATTTTATAGGAATGCTTTTAAAAATTGTTGTGCCATTTTTACCTTCCCACAAGCAATGTATGAGACTATCAGTTACTCATATATTTGCCAAAAATTGCTATCAGTTTTGTTTTGTTATTTATTATTTGTTTGCTTGTTTTTAGCTATTTCACTGAATATGGAATGGTGTCCCATTGTGATTTCAGTCTGCACTTCATCTGTGGACTAATTAGGTTGAGCAGTTTTTCAAGTGGTTTATGGTCACAAATATTTAGTTTTGTGATGTTTACATCTTTTGGCCATTTTTATTCGGTCGTGTTTTTTTTGGTATTGTCTCATAGGTTTTTAAAAAACATATTCTGAATATAAGTCATTAGTGAGATACATGTATTGAAAATATATTCTCCCACTCTGCAGTATTTCTAGTTCAGTGCTATAAGTAATTCTGGTATGAAGATTTAAATAGACATGTTTGTATGAACCAGTGTTTCCATTTCTCTTCAGAAAACTATCTAGCAGTAGGATTATTGCATCAGATGATAAATGTTTATTTAACCTTCCTAAGATACTGCCATGCTGTTTTCACAGTGACACTACCATTTTGCATTCCTACCAGCAAGATATAAAAGTTCCAGTTGTTCCATCTCCTTGTCAACACTTGGTTTTGTCAGTTATTTTAACTTTAGCCTAATGGTTATATATTAGTATCCCATTGTGGTTTAGATTTCCATTTTCATAAAGCCTAATTGAATATATTTTCATGTGCTCATTGCTCATTCATTTATCTTCTTTTGTGAAATGTCTCCTCAAATTATATGTTCATTTTAAATGGTACCATCTTCTTATTAAGTTGGAAGAGATTTTATGTTCTATATTCAAGACCTTTGTCAGATAATATATTTTGTAATATATTTTCTGTTAGTCAGTAGCTTGTCTTTATCTTTTCTTTAACTATTTTTAAAATAACAAAAGGTATTTTTAATTTTGTTCATTTTTTTATTTTATAATTCATGCTTTTTTGTTGTGTTTAAGAAATTTATACTTTTTATTTTCCTTTATCATGTTTTGTCATTGTCACTGTATAGACCATGCACAGAATTTCTAATTTTATTCTTCAGTATTTTTTATACCATTGTAAATGGAGTTAATTTTTGAAATTTCTTTTGGTAATTATTCATAGCAAGTATATAAAATACAATTAATATATCTTTATTGACCTTTCATATGCAATACTCATACATTCACTGATTATTTTAGTAGCATATTTTTAGTTAACCACATTTTCCTATGTATATAGTCCTGTCATTTTCAGATAGTCCTATTTCTTCTTTTCTCATATATATAATTTTTCAGTTTCTCTATCTTGCCACTTTTCATTGGATAAAAATGATATTGTAATGTTGCTTAAAACTTTGCCTGGTTCCTGATATTAGATTAAGATATTTGAGCCTTTAATAATTAAGTATAATTTTGTATGTCTTTCAAATATCTTTGATCAGATTGTAGAAGTTTTCTTTAAATGTTCTTTCCTAAGACTTTCAATTCTAAAACAAATTAAATGAGTATTGAATTTTTGAAATGCATTTTCTGCATCTATTAAATTTATTATATATTTTACTGCTTTATTCTATTAATATGCTGAATTATAATTGATTTCTGGATGTTTAATCAGCCTTATATTTTCAGTGAAACTGTATTCAGTCATGATATGTTATCCTTTTTATATATTGATGGATATAATTAACTAAAATTTTGTTGGGGATTTTCTCACCTGAATTCACTGGGGATATCTGTAGTTTCTTTGGTTGTGATATTTTTAGGTTTGATATCACCACAAAACTGGCCTCATGATATGAGTTGGGAAATATTGCCTCCCCTTCTGCTTTCTGTAGAAGTTTCTGTATTGTTGTTATAATTTTTTTCTTAAATGCCTAATATAATTCACCAATAAAGTGATGTAAGTGTCAAGGTTTTATTTCAGGATGCCTTTTAAATTATGGATTTAATTACCTCAATAGATGCAGAACTATTCAGATTTTTCTATATTTTCTTATACCATATTCAGTAATTTGAGTCCTTCCAGAAACTTTAATTTTACCTACATCATCAAAATTTTTTGGCATAAGTTTGATCATTATGGTTCTTTATTCTCACTTAATATCTATAACATTTCTAATTTTGTACTCTCTTTTATTCAAAATTTTAGTAATTTATATCTTTCTGCTTTTTTTCTTCATCACGTTAACTAAATGGTCATCAATTGTATTGATCTTTTTAAAGGAGAAGCTTTTGGTTTCATTGAATTTTCCACATTTTTCTAGGCATTTTTTGTTTGTTTCTGCTTTTAACTTTATCACTTTCTCCTTTCTGCTTACTTTTTATTTGCTCTGCTTTTTATTGTGTAACTTAAGGTATAATGGCATATTTTTGATTTTAGACCTTCCATCTAGAGTATGCATTTAAAATTATAAATTTCTTTCTAAACTATGCATTAGCTGTATTTCATAAATTTCATATACAGAATTTTCATTATCAGTCTGTTAGAAAACTTTATTAATTTCCCTTGTAATTTTTGACGCTTCAGTTATTTTCAAAATATATTGCTTATTTTTTAAATATTGGTAGATTTTCTAGGTAATCTATTCTTATTAAATTCTAATTTAATTTCACTGTGGTCAGTGAATATATCATATTGTAAGATTTTAGTTTTTGAAATATATTAAGACCTTTTTGATGAGCCAGCATACAGTTTATCTTTATGAATTATATCTTTTTCAACAAAATATTTATCATAGAATTTCTGTGTGCAATGGCCTAAAACTGTCAACTAATTCAAGTTGTTTGAGTTACTTTCATTTTATGTATTTTTAAGGTTTTCAGTATACCCCTAATCATTACCGAGAAAGAAATGTAGAAATCTCAATTTATAATTATAAATTTATTTATGTTTCCTCTTAGATTTCACAGGTTTGATCTATTTTATCCATTTGAAGCTCTATAATTAGGCACATAAACGTTTTAGATTATTATCTCTTTTTATGAATTTATTTTTTATCCCTGTACCAAGTTTTTTTAATTGAACTCTGTTGATATTTCTCATCCTGAAGCCAGCTTTATTTAATATTTATATATGCACTCCAACTTTCCAAAAACATTTTTTGCTATAGAGTTGAGGTCTCATCATGTTGCCTAGGCTGGTCTCGAACTCCTGGGCTCAAGCAATCCTCCCACCTTGGCCTCCCAAAGTGCTGGTATTATAGGTGTGAGCCACTGTGCCCAGCCCACTCCAACTTTCTTATGACTATTGTTTTCTATGGTATGTATTTCCTTATATTTTTCTGTCAATTCATCTGTATTTTTATTGTTAATGTGCATTATCTGTAGACAATATGTATTTAGGTCTTCTCATTTCTTCTGACAATTTCCGCATTTGATTGGAATGTTTACACTGCTGACATTTAATATAACTGAAATAGTTGGGTTTCTTTTTTATCCCATCTATCTCTTCTTTCTTTTTTCCTCTTTTCTCACCATTTTGAAATTAAATAGGTGGTTTTTAAATTCCATTTTATTTCCAATATTAACTTATAAGCTATACCTCTTTGCTACTTTTTAAAATGCTAAGTTTTTATAGTGGCATATAGAGAGTTCATCGTGACTAGAGACATATGTATTCCTAACAGAGTTGAGAACCTTAGTCAAGCTCAGGGAATTTAAAACTGAAGAAAGGTATAATATTTACGGAGGAGCAAGTTTTGATTTTCACTGGCTTAGGAGGACCTTTCAGTGACACATATATTAAAAGTTTTGGCTACCAAGTGAAATAAGTTTAGGTAAGAAATTTAGGACCTGACAGGGACACAAACAAGCAATAATAGCAGCAACAACAACAGTAACAGCAAAACTGGACAGGGTGCTGATTAGATTCTTATAAGTTCCCTAATGGCATATATTAAATACTTGAAAGGTGCCCCCAGGGAGATTGTGCATGGCCAGATAATTCTCAAAAAAAAGTATGTGATGTGTCCCTCCCATATCTTACAACTATGCTGCATCAAAACTTTTCATTTGTATCCCAGCAACTGTTCCCTGAGCTGAGGAGCCACAGCATGAAGGCAACAGACATTCGAACTTTAGAGTTCCACCAGACAGAAATAGGGAAGAGTGAGAAGGTAAAACTGCTAAAAATTTATATTTTGGATGTCCAGGTCTCTCTCTCTCTCTCTCACACACACACACGCACACACGCACACACACACAGGCTTTCTCCTTGGTCAAATCTCACATGCAATTCAGAATTGCAACATTAGGAACTTGGAGAGTGACACGAGTTTCATTTCTGGTATTAGATATTTTTATGATTATTTAACTCTCCCTGGTGAGAATTGGTTTTGATTAATTACTTTATGTCCTCAATGAAGGAGTGTTGGAAAACAATACCCCTTTACCCCCACTGACATAAAGCACATTAACCATGATCGTTTTTCCAGGATGTAAGCCTTATTCTTTAATTTGAGCTTCAAGTCACAAAAGTAAATCTGCTTTGTGAAGTCCTCCACTGCCCCTACATGCCAATGTATTCCATCATGTTTCTTTTAATTTTCCATCCCTGTATACATACTTCAAAGTTACAATCTTTT
Source organism: Homo sapiens (assembly GCF_000001405.40). Classification (NCBI taxonomy): domain Eukaryota; kingdom Metazoa; phylum Chordata; class Mammalia; order Primates; family Hominidae; genus Homo; species Homo sapiens. The sequence goes on from NC_000003.12 coordinate 118,055,237, forward strand.
CTGTTCAACCTATATTCCACTCACATGGTGCCTTGCTTACTTTCCTGGCAGACATAACATTGGACATATGGCCATGGAACTCATACTCTATATTCCTAATTTGTTCTTCTGCTGAAACCCTTGACTATTTCCTAATTCCCTAGACTAGCTGAAAGAAAAGCCCTAAGAATTCCTTACACATTTTCTTCTTAGACTCTTATAGAACACATACTTCTGTTCCATTACTTTATTCCCAACTGGTTTTCATTTAACCCTCCCAGACTTATTGCAACTCCTAAATAGAGAACATTTCTATGTTAGTATGGGTCTCCGAGAAGCAGATGCCAAGATGGGATAAAATATACAAAGACTTTATTAGAGGAAACCTTGTGAGAGAAAAGTGAGAAAGCAGCTGGGGAAGATCAAGAGAGCTGTCACACTGCAATGCAAGTCTGAGCCTGAGTGAAGAAGAGAGGGAGGGAAGGTTGGGTGTAAGTTTCTACTCTGTCTTGTAGTTTAGAGCACCTTCAGCAATGCCATCAGGGAGTCCTGTAGCCAGTCAGTCAGTAGAGCAGAGGTATCCCGTGTCTTACAGGACCATGAGTACCTCAGCAGAGCATAGTCGTTGACTAGGAGCAACCTGTAGGAACCATGATTTCAGCACAAGTTTGCTGATATATTTCTGAGCCCAATACTGGGACCCTTAGTCAATGAGACTTTTGGAGTTGGAAGGCTTAGAGGCACAATTCCTAACGCCGTCTTCCACATCCTTTTCCAAAAAAGGAAAGAGATTGTGAATAAGGAGGTATACAATGTTGATACTGTTCTCTTTTCACTGAAGTCTCTGCTTGAACCATTTATCTGGTCGTAAATGGCAGATGAATACAGGCCTAGGATTAGTGATTAATCTCTATCAGGGTAAAAGGAAGTGATAGTATTTTCAGAGTAAAAGTAGAAAAATAAAATAAAGGAAAACATCATCCAAAGTATTTAAAAATGCTCCTAAAGTCTTTTCAAGCCACAAATAAATTAATGCCATATATCTGCTCTAATTAAACCTAGCTTTTCTAAAGTATCAACATTAAGATAAATAGGAACAATTATTCATTTTGTTTTGCTTAATTATGTGTTGTATGTTTGAACCCATTTTTCATTATAAATGTGCAGTGTTTCAGACACATTCTGCTTAATATAGGCTTATATAAGTAACATGGGATCCTAACCATCATTTATGACATTTATGACATATAGGGAATTAATTCCAAGTTTCAAGTGATTAATTTATAAATGAGCTTTTGGGATACAACCTGTGTGCAAATTGGATATGTCTTATATCTTTCACAAGCATGCTATGTGATCTTTGCAAAATGTTTCCATCTCTATTAATTGAGCTATAACACTCCGAAGTAGAGAAGTAAGCAATAATTATCTTTTATTTCTTTTTTCTTTTTCTAAAATTCACATCTGGGTACCCAGAAACCCCTCCCAAGGCTTCCCTCATTTTTTTTAGCCACCACCCCCAGTTTAAACTTAAACATACATGTTCTGCAGCAAAAGTTATTGTTCTTGATTGAAATCAGAAGAGTAATTAACTTTGAAGAAGGAGTACTGACTGGGAGGAGACCTAATAGGGCTTCCTGGGATGTTGGAAATGTTCTGTATCTGTATGGGTTCATGCTTACATAGGTGTATATAAATGTAATAATCAGTTGAGCTCTCCATTTAAGATTTGTGAGGTTTATGTAATTATACTTGAATTAATTTTTAAAAAAACTTAACTGATATAAACTTAATAAGGAACTATATAGAATGATCAAAGATAATGAATAATTATTTATAGTTAGTTAAGTTTATCCCAGCTATAACATATCTATATTTTAATCAACACTATTGTCAACTTTACCCCAAGACACTCATATAGAGTGATGCTAGTGTTTACAATTTTAAGTGCTGGTGACTGATTGATTGAAGAATTTATGTTTTAAAATGTTTTTAATATTTTGATGTTTTAAAATGTTTATTTTTGCATGTTTCAAATCAGCTGACTCAGCCTGACTGAGGGTGTTGCAATACTGAATTTGTTGAAGTTCACATTGCCAGCAAAGGCAGTAGTAGTAAGTAGATCTAGAATGCAGGAAGCTGTTCGTTAAGAGTTCTAAGAGAAAAATATAGTTGAAGATTACATTGCCTCAAATTGAAAGGATTAGACAAAGAGGCATTAGATAAGATCTTATCACTTTTGAAGGTAGAAATTTATTTCAGAAGCTGATGAAAACTATTGACTTTTTCTCTTCAAAAAGGCACACATATACAGAGGCACAATTTTACATACAATTACCAGTATATTCACAGAGCACTTATCGCCCATTGATGAGCCACCTAAGGTTTTGTGGAAATCATACTAAAAATTCCTCTTCTAGACCCTTTGATATCCAAAATGTGTCAGGTACAATGATGTACAAACCAGAAGATAATGCCCACAAGAAGTTGACTAGTAATCTTAGGGATAAGACACACACATCCATGAAACTATTAGTAAATGATTGGCACAGACCACAAGAGATTATTCTGTTTTAGGATGAAAACAAAACGTAATTTAGAACACTTTTTCAATAGTTTCCCTGTGTTTTGTATGGTGTACTTCTTATGTTTTTATTTTTTGTTTTATGATTTCATCAGAGGTTATTTTTTCAGCGTTTATATAGATTAGAATTTACATACAATGGGTACATGAGGAACAGGTTCACAGAATGCAAAGTTCCTGGTGTATAGTTAAAAATGTTTGCAATATGGGCTTGCAATATCTCAAAGTCTGTTTCTTTTTCTCCTTGTTTTCAAGTAGAATAAAAAGTGAAGAGACTATGGGATATTCTCAAAGGCCCTACAAGTAATTCAAAAGACTTTGAATAATCGAATGTTTTTCAGGTTGGTGGTCATGTAAACTAGGTTGTACCCAGAATGAAACAGGTAGAAGTGAGGGTAGAAGAATATTCACAATCACCTCTTCCTCACCTCCACAATAATTACCATTATTTTCTCTTTTCCTGTCCTCCCCCACCCAAAATATTTGCAACTAACCTGTGAGTCCCTCTTCTCTAGGAAAAAACTAAGGGCAGAATTTATACATCTTCTTTGTGAAAGCATAGAAACTACCTTATTTCTTTTATTTTTTTCATTTGGAGTGGTGGAGGGAGTGGAAAGAAGTTATAGAAATTATCTGACTTTTGTCTCTATTCGAGAAAAATTTCAATCAAAAAATAAAAATTTTCAGAAATATTAAATTAAATGAGTAAACATGTATATATACACACCTACTCATTTAATGTATGTGTGTGTGTGTATATATATATATACACACACAAACACATACAGATAGATACACACATAAATTTTATCTAGAAAAAATGATTTTGATTTGGTTTATTCCAGAAATTAAAGGATAGAATATTACCAGCTGAAAATAATTTAGAACTTAACAGCCTAAGTGTGACCTAAATGCGCTGAAGAGAGCTAGAGAGCTACATTCAGCATTTTAATATTCTACTTGACATGAGAGCCTCAGTGTGGCATGAAGTAAAAAAGAGCTTACCATCTTCTGATCTATGATAAACACTTTAAAAGATGTGCATAGCTTTAAAAAATTAATTAAAATGCCTTGGAAATAACAATCACTTCATTACAAGTATCACAATTTTGGACAAAAGTACAAAGTATAAAAGGCAGTCTCCAAGAACCCGGACTAGCCATTCATGAAGCACAGTAACTGAAGTTATTCTGTTTGATACCCTTTTCTCTTCTTAATGCTCACCAAACACATCCTCCCTAGGTAATATAAATGTATATGTGTATGTGTATGTACATACATATATATACAGTCCTTCCCACTAGAATAAAGGCACAGGAAGGGCAAATATTATCTTTGTCTTTTGTTGCCCTATCCTTACAGTAGCTAGCACAGATACTTGGATATAATGAATGTTCAGTTAAAATGTTCTGCATGCCTAACTTATCCCATTCTATCTTTGTCATAACAAATTACCACAAACATAATTAAAACAGCATGAATTTATTATTTCACAATTTTCTATAAGTCAGGAGTTCAGGCACAATGTGCCATAGCTGGCTCCCTGCTCCACATTTCATAGGCCAAAATCAAGATGTTATTTTCCAGGAGCTCTGGGGATGAATCCCCTTATAAGCTCATTCATATTGTTGTTAGAATTCAGTTACTTGTGGTTGTAAGATGGAATTTCCCATATCCTTGCTGTCTCTTGCTCAGGGGTCATTTGCAGCTTCCAGAAGTCACCTGCATTCCTTAGTCCTTGACCCCTTTCCCCTATCTTCAAAGCCAGCAACAGTGAGTGGAATCCTTTTCAAATTTTGAATCTCCATGACGTCCCCCTCTACCTCATATCTTCTCTGTTTGTCTATTCTTCCACATCTCTCTGACAGACTCTACAACCTTTCTCTTCTGCTTTTAAGTCCTATGTGATTGCACTGGATCTAGCAGAATAATCCAGGATAATCTTCCTTTTTTTAAGGTCAGGTAATTATTAACCTTAATTTTATTTCCAAAGCCTCTTTTCTGTAGTACCTAGATTCATGTTTGTTCAAATCACTAGGGGATGGCAATCTTAGAAACACATCTTTAGAATTCTGTCTATCAAAGTCCTAAAAAAAAGGAGAATGTGTATGAATTACTCACGGTTCTTGGCTAATTGGAGAGAAGACACAATATAAACATTAGTTATGACTACTAACACAAATAAACTTTGTGTTGTGGTGGGCATGAAAGTGAGAGTGGGCAGGTAGTTATTTCCATATGCATTTTAATCCAAACATTTTAAGGTAAGTTTCTGGCAAGTTGCCTCAAGTAGCTTGATTTGAAGAAAATGTTATGGGAATGGTTACCATATTTTAGAGCAGGTGCAACTAAGATCCCAGTGAAAACAGAAGAATATCAAGTAAAGCCAATTAACATGAGAAAAATATATTGCCCTGGAATTGCATTTCCACTGTTAACTTTTTCTATTTGTTTTTTACCGATATTCACAAATAAAACAAACATTTCTTGTTTGGAAAGGAAGTTTCACTGAGAAAAACAAAGAAGAAAGGCAGAGAGACAAGAAAACTTGGAGGTTAGGTGGAATAGAATCTCCAAGAAAGAATTAAAGAAAACAGATGTGAACATGGGAACAAAAATTAGAAAAATGAATGTTGACAAAATAAAGTTAGATAACATAAACTAGGCAGAGATTTAAGAGAAAGTACAAACTGAAAAGATTGAGGCTTTTCCCTGTAGCGAAGGAATTATTTTTCTCTATTTTATACTTTGTCCATTAAAAATGTTCAAAGGGACTAGAAAAATGGCAGCCATATTTGGGTATTAGTTAATATGCTTATTTCCCTCTAGCTTTATTCTCCTCTATGCAGTTAACACTCTCATAAATAAACGGAAACATTAGTGTGGATGCTTGCAATTTGGAGCTATTCTCCAAATACTTGTGACTAGCACAGAGTTATGAGTCCCCTAGATAAGAAACTTGATTTAGGTATTGAGATAAAAAAAAAAAAAACTGTTTTACAGAGACTGAAGCATATGAGGTACAATAGATTTCATTGCTAACTTTTCATTTCAAGACTGCATTTGCATCTTCTCAATCTTTGGTTTACCTGCAGCAATTTCTTTCCAATAGCTGTCTCCTAATTTCCCTTGGTAACTCCCCAAATGCCCTACATATTGCCCCATATCTGAAGCTAATATCATACCAATGCATTCTTAGAATTTGAATTACTACACAGACATTCTTTGGAGACATTCCTAATGAGTTTATTATCAATGTTCTTCCTTCATATTCCCCTTGTGGGCTTTTACTGGCTTCACCCATAAATGTGATTCTTACAACAAATTCATCTTTAAGAGAATCTCGTATCTATCCTTTTCACTGATTTTGCACTACCTTTCTCCTCTTCCTTTTTGTTTGGTGGATTTTATATATTTCTTTATCTTCAGCCACCTTTAAAGCAACAGACAAAAATGAGCACCTGGAGCTACAGTGAACATTGCTGTTTTTTGGGACTGGATTGTCACTGAAAAATTCAATGTCAGTCTGTATAGGTGTGACTAAGTGGACTGATGCCTATTTAAAGTCAACCTACTTCTCCTGGCATTCTCAGAACAGCCCCCACTTACTCAGTAGCCACCAAAACAAAGGTTTAATGACAGTTTCCAACATTTGTAGACAGAAAACTGTTCAGAATTGTGACGTGAAATCCTTGTAAGTGGTAGTTCTTGCATATTTCTCTTTAAAAAGAAAGTTTGGTTTTCAGTAGGGGAAAGATGTTAACCACTCTAGATAGCTTAAGACCAAGAAACACCATTCTTCTTTCTTATTTCAATGATTACCTTGACCCCTAATTCGTTACTCAGTCACAAATTTAAAGTCTATTATGATCCAGACACATTCAAACATCTTTCAAAACCCATCTGTTCCTTTGCTGAGTATTTTTTCCTATTAATTTTTACACACCAAATGTAATAGCCATTTTTAAAATTGATTTACAACTTTGCATTTGATTTTAGCAGTATTTTATTTTTGTTTGTTTATTGTTGGCACTTAAAGATTATTATTCTCTGGCTAAAAAATTTGACTTCCCATTTATAACAGAAAAAAAAAATTTCCTTCTTGGTCCAGCTTTCATGGCCTCACAAAATTTGTATATATCCTGCTTCTCCAGGCACGAGGGAACCATGTTTCTCCAAAATATTCTGTTAAAATCAATGTGCTTCATTCACTGAAGGATCATTTTAAGAAACATTACATCTTCAGTGCTAGGCAGTAATAATGTGAAGAAGCTCATTACCAGGATAGTACTGGTTCACTCTCTAATTGGGCTGGCTTTTTCTAAGGACATTTGTAATCATTTTTTATCTTTTTAATTAATAGAATTCATTTTTAAAAGAAGTTTTAATCTTATAGAAAAACAGAGAAGAAAGTACAGAAAGTTCCTATATATCTCTTCATATCTGCTGGCCCCCTTTAGCTCTCCGGCTTTCATTTTGTCAATCCTGTCTTAGATCATTCTGATCTATACTTACTTTGTACTTTTAAAATAAATGTGGCTCTCAGAAACAACTTATAAAAACTGCCCATATTAGGAAGTTCTGGCCAGGGCAATTAGGCAGGAGAAGGAAATGAAGGGTATTCAATTAGGAAAAGAGGAAGTCAAATTGTCCCTGTTTGCAGATGACATGATTGTACATCTAGAAAACCCCATTGTCTCAGCCCAAAATCTCCTTAAGCTGATAAGCAACTTCAGCAAAGTCTCAGGATACAAAATCAATGTACAAAAATCACAAGCATTTTTATACACCAATAACAGACAAACAGAGAGCCAAATCATGAGTGAACTCCCATTCACAATTGCTTCAAAGAGAATAAAATACCTAGGAATCCAACTTACAAGGGACGTGAAGGACCTCTTCAAGGAGAACTACAAACCACTGTTCAATGAAATAAAAGAGGATACAAAGAAATGGAAGAACATTCCATGCTCATGGGTAGGAAGAATCAATATCATAAATATGGCCATACCGCCCAAGGTAATTTATAGATTCAAGGCCATCCCCATCAAGCTACCAAAGACTTTTTTCACAGAATTGGAAAAAACTACTTTAAAGTTCATATGGAACCAAAAAAGAGCCCGCATTGCCAAGTCAATCCTAAGCCAAAAGAACAAAGCTGGAGGCATCACGCTACCTGACTTCAAACTATACCACAAGGCTACGGTAACCAAAACAGCATGGTACTGGTACCAAAACAGAGATATAGATCAATGGAACAGAACAGAGCCCTCAGAAATAACGCCGCATATCTACAACTATCTGATCTTTGACAAACCTGAGAAAAACAAGCAATGGGGAAAGGATTCCCTATTTAATAAATGGTGCTGGGAAAACTGGCTAGCCATATGTAGAAAGCTGAAACTGGATCCCTTCTTTACACCTCATACAAAAGAATTAATTCAAAATGGATTAAAGACTTAAACGTTAGACCTAAAACCATAAAAACCCTAGAAGAAAACCTAGGCATTACCATTCAGGACATAGGCATGGGCAAGGTCTTCATGTCTAAAACACCAAAAGCAATGGCAACAAAAGCCAAAATTGACAAATGGGTACTAATTAAACTAAAGAGCTTCTGCACAGCAAAAGAAACTACCATCAGAGTGAACAGGCAACCTACAAAATGGGAGAAAATTTTCGCAACCTACTTATCTGAGAAAGGGCTAATATCCAGAATCTACAATGAACTCAAACAAATTTACAAGAAAAAAACAAACAACCCCATCAAAAAGTGGGCGAAGGACATGAACAGACACTTCTCAAAAGAAGACATTTATGCAGCCAAAAGACACAAGAAAAAATGCTCACCATCACTGGCCATCAGAGAAATGCAAATCAAAACCACAATGAGATGCCATCTCACACCAGTTACAATGGCAATCATTAAAAAGTCAGGGAACAACAGGTGCCGGAGAGGATGTGGAGAAATAGGCACACTTTTACACTGTTGGTGGGACTGTAAACTAGTTCAACCATTGTGGAAGTCACTGTGGCGATTCCTCAGGGATCTGGAACTAGAAATACCATTTGTCCCAGCCATCCCATTACTGGGTATATACCCAAAGGACTATAAATCATGCTGCAATAAAGACACATGCACACGTATGTTTATTGCGGCACTATTCACAATAGCAAAGACTTGGAACCAACCCAAATGTCCAACAATGATAGACTGGATTAAGAAAATGTTGCACATATACACCATGGAATACTATGCAGCCATAAAAAATGATGAGTTCATGTCCTTTGTAGGGACATGGATGAAATTGGAAATCATCATTCTCAGTAAACTATCGCAAGGACAAAAAACCAAACACTGCATATTCTCACTCATAGGTGGGAATTGAACAATGAGAACACATGGACACAGGAAGGGGAACATCACACTCTGGGGTCTGTTGTGGGGTGGGGGGTGGGGGAGGGATAGCATTAGGAGATATACCTAATGCTAAATGACGAGTTAATGGGTGCAGGACACCAGCATGGCTCATGTATACATATGTAACTAACCTGAACATTGTGCACATGTACCCTAAAACTTAAAGTATAATAATAATAAAATAAAATAAAATAAAAAACTGCCCATATTAATTCCTACATAAGGATATCCAGTTTTCACAACACAATTTCTTGAAGGTGCTATCCTTTCTCCATTGTGTGTTCTTAGTATCTTTGTTGAAGATCAATTGACTATAAATGTATAGATATATTTCTGGATTCTGTATTCTGTTCCACTGATCCATATGTCCTTTTTTATACCAGTACCATGCTGTTTTAATTATTATACTTTTGTAGTAAATTTAGAGGTCAGGTAGTGTGATGCTTTCAGCTTTGGTGGTTTTTTTTTCTTCTTTGTCTGTGAAAAATGTCATTGGAATTTTGATAAGGGTTGACAAAATCTGTAGGGCAATTTGGGTAGTATGGACATTTGAACAACAATAATACTTCAAATTTTTGGACATGGAATATCTTTCTATTTATTTGTGACTTCTTCAATTTATTTCATCACTGTTTTATAGTTTTCAGGGTACAGCTCTTTTACTTTCTTGGTTAAATTTATTACTAAGTATCTTTAATGCTACTGAACATGGGATTTTTAAAAAATATTTTACACCATTGTCTTAGTTTATTCGTACTGTTATAACAAAATAACCTAGACTGTAATTTATAAAAACAAAAATGTATTTCTTACAGTTCTGGAGTCTGGGAAGTTCAAGATCAAGGTGCCAGCAGATTCAGTGTCTGATGAGGGAAACTCTCTGCTTCCAATATGGTGCCTCCTTTCTGCATCCTCACAGAGCAGAAGGTGGAAGGACAAAAAGGGCCTACCTACTTCTCTACAGAACTTTTATACACCCTAATACCTCCTAAAGTTCCCACCTTTAAGTACTATCACGCTGGGTTTTAGGTTTCAACATACAAATTCTGGGGGGACACATTCTGACCATAGCAACTATACACAAAAATCAACTCAAAATTCTATCTATTAAAGGTTGTGTGTTGTTGTTGTTGTTGTTGTTGTTGTTGTTGTTGAGACAGAATCTTGCTCTGTTGCCCAGGCTGGAGTGCTGTGATGTGATCTTGGCTCGCTTCAGCCTCCTCCTCCCAGGTTCGAGCAATTCTCCTGCCTCAGCCTCCCAAGTAGCTGGGACTACAGGTATGTGCCACCATGCTTAGCTAATTATTGTATTTTTAGTAGAGACAGAGTTTCACCATGTTGGCCAGGCTGGTCTTGAACTCCTGCCCACAGGTGATCCACACACCTTGACCTCCCAAATTGCTGAGATTACAGACATGAGCCACCATGCCTGGCCTATTAAAGGTTTAAATGTAAGATATAAAACTGCAAAACTGCTAGAAGAAAACATGGGGAAAAAACCCTCCTGAAATTGTTCTAGGCAATAAGTTTTTGTATATGACTCCAAAAACACAGGGATAGATAGCAAAAACAGACAAATGGGATTTCATCCAACTGAAAAGTTTCTGCATGGAAAAGGAAACAACAGAGTGAAGAGACAACCTACAGAATGGGGGAATATATTTGCAAACCCTACATCTCATAAGGGGGGGCGGTAATATCCAAAATACGTAAGGAACTCAAACAACTCAATAGTGAAAAATCAAGGGCAAAAAACCTGAATAGACATTTCTCAAAAAAAAAAAAAAAAAAAAGGTCTACAAATAGTGAACAAATATACTGAAAAATGCTCAACATTACCAGTCATCAGGGCAATGCAAGTCAAAACTGCAAGGAGATATTGTCTCACGCTTGTTAGGATGGCGGGTATCAGAAAAAGGGAGAAATGTCGGCAAGGGTGTGAAGCAAAGGAAACCTTTGTAGACTGTTGGTAGAAATGTAAATTGGTGTAGTCATTATGGAAAACAGTATGGTGGTTTCTCAAAAATTAAAAACAGAACAATCATATTAAACAGCAATCCCACTTCTGGGTATATTTTCAAAGGAAATAAAGCAAGAATGTTGAAAAGATATCTGCATTCTCATGTTTATTGCTGCATTATTCACAATAGCAAAGATAAATAATCAACCTAAGTATCCACCAACAGATGAATGTATATAGAGAAATATATATGTATATATGTATATGTATATATGTATATATATGTATATGTATATATGTATATATATGTGTGTGTGTATATATATATACACAACGAAATATTATTCAGCCTTAAAAGAGGCTGTCATTTGCAACATGATTGAATTTGAAGGAAATTATGCTAAGTGAAATCAGACAGGCACAGGAAGATAAATGCTGCATGGTCTTACTTATATGTGGAATCTAAAAGTAAAACCCGTAGAAGTATAAAGTAAAATGCTAGTTCCTAGGGCAGGATAGGGGAAAACAGGGAAGTATTAGTCAAAAGTAAAGTCATGGTTTTATACAAGAAACAGTTCTAGAGGTTCTGCTGTACGACACAGTGACTATAATTAACAGTACTGTTTCATATACTTAAAATTTTGCTAAAAGGTTAGATCTTATGTTAAAAGTGTAATTATCTTAAAACAATAATAATGATAACTAAAAGGATGGGAGAATACAGTGATGGATATATTTATGACATAGATTGTGGTGATAGTTTCATTGTTATAGTTATCCTGAAATTCAAGCTGTATACATTAAATATGTATAGCTTTTTGTATGTCAATCATACCACAAAAGTGGTTTTAAAAGTGATTATACTTAATGCTTTGTGAAAAACTCATTAAAAGATAACAAACTTTGGATTTTTCTCCTTAACACTTGGAGTGTGGTGCTACAACAGTTCTTGCATTGGTAGGCCTAAATGCTATACTTTCTTTAGGTGCAGTTAATGGAATTTAAGCAGCTAATCAAAAAAATCATCCAATAATACTGTTTTTATTGGGGTATTTTTTAATTTTGAAAATTTGGATCTTTATTAACACAACTGTGCTATTTCATGTGTTCTGAGATGCAGAAAATGGGCACCAAGAAGGAAATAGGCAAGCGAGAGATTTATTGGAGGTGACTGAACATCTTTAAAGGATAAAGAAGGAGTGAAGCAGGCTTGGAGAGAGCCCAGACAATAATGCAAGTCTGACATCTGTGAGTAAAGGAGAGAGAAGAAAGAGTTGTAAAGAAATGCCATTAAACCACAATGTTAGGCTGACAGGGAATCCTCAAGCTAAAGTTACTTGTTAAAGAAATTGCACATGGAGCAGAATAGCCCTATTTCTGCTTTTTAGCCAACCTTAGTTATCGGCTGCAAGCACCTCAAAGGAAATGTCCATGGTGGACTTGAAAGTCTAGCAGCTAAAGGCTGTTCATCAGCTATGCAACCCACAGCAGGTTTATTTAAAGTAAAACGCAGTGGGAAACCCTCACGGTTACCACAGTAGTTCAACAGAAAACCTCAAATAGCATATTTATTCAAAGGACAGATATAGCAAAACAAAAATATAATATTTTAGGTATTATTATCTGACTTCTCGATAATCTTTAATTTTCCTTTTTACTCTTTAACTCCACCCTACTTTTCTGCCAGGGTTTATTAGAACGGAGTCATTCTATCTGAAGTTTCTTATGACTATTAGGTTTATTACATTCATATGGTAAAATCAAATGTAACATATCTCAGGTGTGGTAGTAATAAGATAAAATATATACTGATTTATGCAAGCAATAAACTGTATATCTGGAAAAGTTACATGTAAAAACAGTTTTAAATTAAAATACTTTTGCCTTAGAATTTTTTTATTTTAAATTTTTATGGGTACAAAGTAGATATAAGAGGTATTTTGATACAGTCATACAATGCATAATAATCATGTCAGGGTAAATGGAACATCCCTCCCCTCAAGTATTTATCCTTTCTTTGTGTTACAAACAATTCAGTTTTACTCTTTTAGTTACTTTAAAATGTGCGATAAATTGTTGCTGACTGTAATCACCCTGTTTTGCTATCAAATGCTATATCTTATTCATCCTATATTTTTGTAACCATTAACCATCCCACTTCCCCACTGCTTCCCACTACCCTTCCCAGCCTCTGGTAACCATCATTCTACTCTCTATCTCCATGAGTTCAATTGTTTTAATTTGTAGCAAACACAAATAAGTGAAAATATGCAAAGCATGTCTTTCTCTGCCTGGCTTATTTCACTTAACCCAATTACCTCCAGTTCTAGCTATGTTGTTGCAAATGACAGGGTCACATTTTTTTGTGATTGAATAGGACTCCATTGTGTATAAGTATCACATTTTCTTTATCCAATTATCTGTTGATGGACACAGGTTGCTTCCAAATCTTGGCTATTTTGAATAGTGTGGAATAAACATGGGAGTGCAAGACATCTCTTTGATATACTGATTATCTTTCTTTTGGGTATATGCTCAGCAGTGGGATATCTGGATCATATGGTTGCTAAATTTTTAGATTCTAAGGAAGCTCTAAACTGTTCTATATTGTAGTTGTACTAATTTACTTTCCCACCAACAGTGTATGAGGGTTCCCTTTTCTTCACATCCTTATCACCATTTGTTATTGTCTGACTTTTTTATAAGACATTTTAACTGAGGTAACATCATAACTCATTACAGTTTTGACTTCCATTTCTCTGATGATCAATGATGTTGGGCATCTTTTCACACAGCTGTTTGCCACTGAAGGTCTTCTGAGAAATGTCTATTAAAATCTTTAGCCCATTTTTAAATTGGATTATTAGATGTTTTCCTATAAGGTTGTTTGAGCTCCTTATTTATTAATCCCTTGTCAGATGGATAGTTTGCAAATACTTTCTACCATTCTGTGGGTTGTTCTTTGCTTTGCTGTGCAGAAGCTTTATAAACTGATGTGATCCTATTTGTCCATTATTGCTTTGGTGATCTGTGCTTGTAGGGTATTACCCAAGAAATATTTTCCCAGTGCAATGTTTTCCCAGTAGAGAAACACTGGAGAGTCTTCCCAATGTTTTCTTGTAGCAGTTTCATAGTTTGAGGTCTCAGATTTAAGTCTTTAATCCATTTTGATTTGATTTTTGTACATGGCAAGAGATAGGGGTCTAGGATTCTTAATTCTTCTGAATATGGTCATCCAGTTTTCCCAGCACCACTTACTGAAGAGACTGTTATTTCCCCAATGTATGTTCTTGACACCATTGTCGAACATCAGTTTACTATAGATGTATGGAATCGTTTCTGGGTTCTCTATTCTGCTATATTGATGTATGTGTCTGTTTTATGCCACTGCCATGCTGTTTTGGTTGCTTATAGCTCTGCAGTATAATTTGAAGTTGGGTAATGTGATTCCTCTCCTTTTGTTCATTTTGCTTAGGATAGCTTTGGGTATTCTGGGTCTTTTGTGGTTCCCTGTAAATTTTAGGATTTTTTTTCTGTTTCTGTGAGGAATGTCATTGGTATTTTGATAGAGATTGCATTGAATCTGTAGATTACTTTGGGAAGTATGAAAATTTTAACAATATTGATTTTGCAATCCATAAACATAAAATATCTTCCATTTCTTTGTGTCATCTTCGATTTCTTACAGCAATGTTTTATAGTTTTCATTGCAGAGAACTTTCATTTCTTTAGACAAGTTTATTTCCAGGTATTTTATTTTATTTGTAGCCACTGTAAATGGAATTAATTTATTGATTTCTTTTCAGATTGTTTGATATTGGCGTATAAAAAGGTTATTGACTTTTGCATGTTGATTTTATATCCTGCAACGTTACTGAATTTATCAGTTCTAGCAGTGTTTTGGTGGATTCTTTAGGTTTTTCCAAACATAAGACTGTATCATTTGCAAACAAAAATAATTTGCCCTCTTTCTTTCCAATTTAGATGCCCTTTATTTCATTCTCTTATCTGACTAATCTAGCTAGGACTTCCAGTACTATGTTGAATAACAGTGGTAAAATTGCACTTCCTTGCCTTATTCCTAATCTGAGAGAAAAGGCTTTCAGTTTTTCCTCATTTAGTCTGACAGTAGCTGTGGGTCTGTCATTTGTGGTTTTTATTATGTTGAGGTATGCTCCCTCTATACCCTGTGTTTTGAAAGTTTTTATCATGAAGGGATGTTGAATTTTATCAAATGCTTTTTCAGCATTAATTGAAATGACCATATTTTTTGTCCTTCATTCTGTTGATGATGTATCACATTGCTTTGCACTTGTCAAATCATCCTTGTATCCCTGGGATGAATCTCACATGGTCATGATAAATTGTCTTTTTAATGTGTTGTTGAATTCAGTTTGCTAGTATTTTGTTGAGAGCAGTTGCATCAATGTTCATCAGGGATATTGACCTGTAGTTTTATTTTTTTTATGTGTCTTTGACTGATTTTGTTATCCAGGTAATACTAGTCCTGTAGAAGGAATTTGGAAGTATTCCTCTCACTCTATTTTTTGAAATAGTTTGAGTAGAATTTGTGTTAGTTCTTCTTTAAATGTTTCATAAACTTCAGCAGTGAAGACTTTGGGTCCTGGGCTTTTCTTTGATGGGAGATTTTTGCCACAGCTTCAATCTCATTACTTGCTATTGATCTGTTCTTGTTTAAATTTCTTCATGGTTCGATCTTGGTAAGTTTCATGTGTCTAGGAATTTATTCATTATGTCTAGGTTTTCCAATATATTGGTATACAGCTGCTTATAGTAGCCTCTAATGATAATTTGAATTTATGTGGTATTAGTTTTAATGTACCATTTTCCATCTCTGATTTTATTTATTTGGGTCTTTTATCCTTTTTGCCTAGTTGTCAATTTTGTTTATTTTTTTCAAATTACCAATTTTTAATTTTGTTGATTTTTTTGATATTATTTTCTTTGTTTTAATTTCATTTGTTTCTGCTCTGATATTTATTATTATTATTTTCATCTACTAATTTTGGCTTTGGTTTGCTCTTGTTTTTCTGGTTCTTTAAGATACATCAGCAGGTTGTTTATTGCGAAGTTTTCTACATTTTTGATGTAGGAATTTATTGCTACAAACTTTCTTCTTAGTAGTGCTTTCCCTGTGTCCCATAGGTTTTAATATGTTGTGTTTTCATTTTCATATGTTTCCATTTTTTTTC
The DNA here is from genome assembly GCF_000001405.40 of Homo sapiens. Classification (NCBI taxonomy): domain Eukaryota; kingdom Metazoa; phylum Chordata; class Mammalia; order Primates; family Hominidae; genus Homo; species Homo sapiens. Next base: position 118,071,394 of record NC_000003.12, read on the forward strand.
ATTTTTTCTTAATTTATTCATTGACCCACTGGTCATTCAGGGGCATATTATTTAATTTCCATGTGTTTGCATAACTTTGAAAGTTCCTCATTATTGATTTCCAGTTTTGTTCTATTGTGGTCAGAGAATATTCTTGGTGAGACTTCCTTTTTTATTGTTTTAATGTTTTAAGACTTGTTTTGTGGCCAGTATATACTCTATACTTGAGAATGATTAATTTGCTGAGTAGAAGAATTTGTATTCTGCAGCCATTGGATCAAATATATGTAAATATCTATTAGGTCCATTTGGTCTATAGTGTAGATTAAATCTGATGTTTCTTTGTTGATTTTCTGTCTGGATGATCTGCCCAGTGCTGTAAGTCAGGTGTTAACATCTCCAAATATTTTTGTATTGGGTTCTCTCTCTCTCTCTTTTTAAAAAGAAATCACTTTATATTATTTTATTTTGTTGAGACAAGGTCTTACTCCATCATTCAGGCTTGAGTGTAGTGACACAAACATGATTCAATAGAGTTTTAACATCCTTGGCACAAGCAATCATTCAATCTAAGCCCCCCGAGAAGCTGAGACTACAAGCATGTGCCACCAGGCTAGTTTTTAAAAATTTTTGTAGACACGGGTCTTGCCATGTTGCCCAGGTTGGTCTTGAACTCCTGGGCTCAAGCAATCTTCCCAACTCAGCCTCCAAAAGTGTTGGGATTACAAGCATGAGACACCACACTTGGTCTATCTCACTCTTTAGCTCTAAGAATATTTGCTCTATGTATCTGTCTACTTCAGTGTTGGGTGCATCCATATTTATGATTACTATATAATTACTGGTTAAATTGATATATTTATCATTATATAATAGCCTCTTTGTCTCTTTTTGTAGTTTACAGTTTTTGTCTTGAAATCTATTTTGTCTAATATAAGTATAGCTACCTCTGCTCTTTTTGGTTTCCATTTGTATGGAATATCGTTCTATCACTTTATTTTCAGTCTATGTATGTATGTCTTTATAAGTGAAGTGTGTTTCTGTCAGCAAGAGATCAATTGAGTCTTCTTTTTTTTTTTTATCCATTCAACTACTCTATGTCTTTTGATTGAAGAGTTTAGTCCATTTACATTCAATGTTATTAATGATTAGTAAGAACTTACTCCTGCCATTTTGTTATTTGTTTTCTGGTTGTTTTGTGGTTTTCTCTTCCTTCTGTCCTTACTTCCTATCTTCCTTTAGTGAACATAATTTTCTTAGGTGGTATGTTTAAATTGTTTGCCTTTCTTTTTTTTTTTTTTTTTTGAGACGGAGTCTTGCTCTGTCGCCCAGGCTGGAGTGCAGTGGCAAGATCTCGGCTCACTGCAAGCTCCACCTCCCGGGTTCACACCATTCTCCTGCCTCAGCCTCCCAAGTAGCTGGGACTACAGGCACCCGCCACCACGCCCGGCTAATTTTTTGTATTTTTAGTAGAGACGGGGTTTCACTGTGTTAGTCAGGATGGTCTCAATCTCCTGACTTCGTGATCCACCCACCTCGGCCCCCCAAAGTGCTGGGATTACAGGCGTGATTGCCTTTCATTTTTTGTGTGTTTTTTTATTTGAAGTTACTATGAAGCTTGCAAATACTATCTTATTACCCATTTTATATATATATATTATATATATATAAATATATATATAATATATATATATTTTGAGACAGAGTTTCACTCTTGTTGATCAGGCTGGAGTGCAATGGCACAATCTCAGTTCACCGCAACCTCCGCCTCCCAGGTTCAAGGGATTCTCCTGCCTCAGCCTCCCAAGAAGCTGGGATTACAGGCATGTGCCACCACACCTGGCTAATTTTGTATTTTTAGTAGAGATGGGGTTTCTCCATGTCAGTCAGGCTGGTCTCTAACTCCTGACCTCTGGTGAGCTTCCCACCTCAGCCTCCCAAAGTGCTGGGATTACAGGCATGAACCACCGCACCCGGCCATTACCCATTATTACAAACTGATGACAACTTTACATTGATTGCACAAACAAATTAACAAACAAGCAAGGAGAAAACTAATAAAAACTCTACACTTTAATTCCTTCTCCACTTTTAAACTTTTTATTATTTCTATTTATATATTATCATACTATGTGTTGTAAAGTTGTTGTAGTTATTATTTTTTATCAGTTCATTTTTTAGTCTTTCTATTCAAGATATGAGTAGTTTACACACCACAATTGCAGTATTATGATATTCTGCATTTTTCTCCACAGTTACCAAAGACAGGAGGTTTTGTACCTTCAGATAATTTCTTATTACTCATTAATGTCCTTTCTTTCAGATTGAAGAACCCACTTTAGCATTTCTTGCAGGACAGATCTAATGTTGACAAAATGCCTCAGCTTTTTTGTCTAAGAAAGTATTTTTTTCTCCTTTATGTTTGTAGGATATTTTCACTGGATATACTATTCTAGGATATAAAAAAAATTCTGCTTCAGCACTTTTAATATGTCATGTCACTCTTTCCCAGCCTGTGAGTTTTCCCGAGAAGTCTGCTGCCACATGTATTGAAGCTCCTTTATTTGTTATTTGCTACTTTTCTCTTTCTGTTTTTAGGATCATTTCATTATCCTTGTCTTTGAGAGTCTTATTATTAAATGTCTTGAGGTAGTATTCTTTGGGTTAAATCTGCTTGGTATTCTATAACCTCCTTGTAATTGAATATTGACACCTTTCCATAGGTGTGGGAAGTTATCTGCTATTATCCCTTTGAATAAGTTTCTAGCCTGATATCTTTCTCTACCTCTGCTTTAAGGGCAGTAACTCTTGGATTTGTCTTTTTGAGGCTATTTTCTAACTTGTAAAAATGTGCTTCATTTTTTTTTTCTTTGTTCTTTTGTCTCCTCGGTGATTTTCATATAGCCTGTCTTTATACTCACTAATTATTTCACCTACTTGCTCAATTTCTGCTGTTAAGAGACTCTGATGCATTCTTTAGTATGTCATACGCATTTTTCAACTCCAGAATTTCTGCTTTTTTAAAAATAATTTCAATCTCTTTGTTAAATCTATCCCTGATAGGATTCTGAATTCCTTTTGTGTTATCTTGGATTTTATTGAGCTCCCTCAAAACAGTTATTTTTAATTCTCTGTCTGAAAGGTTACTTACCTATGTCTCTCCAGGATTGGTCACTGGTTCCTTACTTAGTTCATTTGGTGAGGCCATGATTTCCCAGATGGTCCTGATGCTTTTAGATCTCCATCAGTGCCTGGGCATTGAAGAGTTAGGTATTTACTGTAGTCTTCACAGTCTGAATTCATTTTTACCAATTCTCCTTGGGAAAAGTTTTCAGGTATTTGTGGGGACTTGGATGTTTTGATGTAAGTATTTGGTCACTGCAGCCATATCTGCTTTAGGTGGCACTTCAAACTCTATAATTCTGTGGCTCTTGAAGACTTGTAGAGGTACTGCTTTGGGGTCTTGGGTAAGATCCAGGAGAATTCTCTAGATTAACAGGTAGAGACCCTTGTTCTCTTCCCTTACTTCCCCTAAACAAAAGAAATCTCTCTCTCTCTCTCTCTCTCTCTCCGTACTGAGCTGCCTAGAGCTTGGGTAGGGGTGACACAAGCACCCTTGTGGCCAACACCAGTGGAACTGCACTGGGTCAAACCTGAAACCAGCACAGTACTAGGTTTCATCCAAGCCCTGCAGTGACCACTACCTGTCTACTCATTATGTCTCCTCAAGGCTCAAGGAGTCTACAATCAGAAGGTAGCAATACCAGCCAGGCCTGTTTCCCTCCCTTCAGGGTGGCAAGTTACCCCAGCCCCAAGCAGGTCTGGAGGTGCTGTCTGGGAGCCAGGGCCTAGAGTCAGAAACCTTAGGAATATGCCTTTTGCTTTTTTCTACTGTGGCTGACCTGACACTTAAGCCACAAGAGAAAGTCCTTCCTACTTCCCTCTCCTTTCCTCAAGCAAGTGATTCTTTCTTAATGATCATCACCATCACCCTGGGTCCATTGTGAGTACTGCCTGGCTACCCCTGATATTCACTCAAAAATCAGGAGCTCTTCAGTTAACTCGTGTGAGTGCTGCCATTTGTGAGTCTCTCTCTTAAGGACAGTGGGCTTCTCTTTGGCTAAGAACAGGTCCCAAAATGCCATGCAGGAGCCAAGACCTGGAATCTGTGATCCCAGGTGGCTGTTTGGTGCTCTACACTACTGTGGCTGAGCTGGTACCCAAGCTGCAAGACAAAGTCCCTGTTACTTTTCCCTCTGCTTTCCTCAAAAAGAAGGTCTCTCCCCATAGATGCTACAGCTGGAAATGTGTAGGTCACATCTGAAGCCAGTATGGCTCTGAGTCTTACTCAGGACTCATGACAAGTACTGCTTGGCTACCACTGATTATTCTGCATCCAGGGGCTCTTTCGTTAGCAGGTGATGAATTCTGCCTTGACTGGGTCCTTCCCTTCAAGGCAGAGGAGTTCACTTCTGGTGTATCTAGAAATGTTGTGTAGGAGCTAGGGCCTGGAATGGGGGCTTCAGGACTCGGCTTGGTGCCCTATTCTATTGTGGTTAAGCTGGTATCCCAGTTGCAAGACAAAATTCTATTTACTCTCTTCTCTCCTCAGTCAGAGGGAAGGAAGGTGACTCTTCCAGAGCTATGAGTTTCACTGCCTGGGATTGGGGGAGGGTCGATGCAAGCACTCCTTGGTTATCCCAGCTGGTGTCTCACTAGGTCACGTGCACCGCAAGTCCACTGGCTCTGAGCCCAGCACAGCATAACGACTTGCCCAGGAATTGCAGTCCTTGTGGCCTAGATTGCCTTTCAAGTTTATGTAGGACCCCAGAGTTATTTGGCCTACCCTGGTGGGGATTCTGGAACTCAGGTTCTGACCGCTGGGTTGGATGGTTTGCCTCTAGCTAGGTCTGATCTATATGCTCTTTCTGTGGCTGCCAGCCAATTTCTGCCCCATGTTGCTTTCAGCTGTCACAGGCAGCACTGAGTTCCAATACAAAGTCCCATAATCACTATGCTCTCCCTCCCCTAAGCACACAGATTCTCTCTCCGTGCCACATGGCTGCTGCCAGAGAATGAGGGAGGGGTGGGGCAGGCGATTAAAGACTGTCTTTCCCATCCTCTTTATTGCCTCTTTCTTTAATATGATGTTAAAACCAAGTACCATGATCAATCACCTGATTTTGGGTTCTTAGGAAGGTGCTTTTTGTGTGGCTAATTGCCCAACTTGGTGTTCCTGCAGAGGGTGAAGGAACAATCACTGGAGGATTCTATTTGGCTATCTTGCTCTGCCTCCTTTATAAAATCCATTTTAAATATCATTCGAGAAAATGTTTTATATAAATAGAACATATAAAATGTATTTTATTAAGTAAGAACTATTTTCATAAAATAAATAGTTTCCCACTGCACTGTCATTTGTAATCAGAGGTTGCAATTAGTTGTATTCTCCTTTCTGTGTGCCAATATACTTTAGTCATCTGAAAAATATTCAATTAATAGGTATTCAATATTCAACTAATATTGAATACCTATTATTCAACTAATATTGAATACCTATGATGTGCCAAGTATTCATTTATTTAGGTTAATAAGACAATATTAAACACACACACACAGACACAGACCCACACACACAAACATGCAAATGAAAATGAAACCAAAAATAACCAACAGTTCCTGTCTTCAAAAGGCTTATGGTCTCTTTTCCTCTAGTTTATGCCTATTTTTGCCCATTAAATTCCTATCTGTTAAGGAAAATACTGTGGCTAACACCCTCTGCAGCTTTTCTCATTTCATTCACCATAAATATGAAACTCTACCTTGAACCCATACCTTATTTAAACAAGAAGTATCAAAGAGAATACTGCAGATGTTTGCCATATTTTCTGGCTGATCCAAATATTTTGTAAAATATTAATATATTTAGATAATGCCTAATATTACAAATTCTTCCTCTTCAAAATAGGACATGGAAAAACTTACCTCACCAGGCTACTTTGTAGTTAAAGCACAGGTAGATAATCTGTGTTCCACCCATGAGACTTAACCGTTCATTAAGACCAAAGTGAACTTGAGGAAGTAAGCTCTCCATGAAACCTCTTTTGCTAGAAAATGTAGCAGAGATGTCTGGCTTTGTGGTCTGGCAATATTGCAAGCTTCATTTCCTGAAATAGGAAAAACACTGGTGTGATTATGGCAACAATTTCTTAATAGCTTGAGGAGGCAATGGATACCCCCTCAGCATTTTTATACTCAGCCCATTCTTCAATTGGTTTAGGTCATTATTATTCCTAGAAGCTTGTCTGGCAGTTCTTTATCTAGCTCTCCAAATACTCTGATAGCTGCCTAACATGGTTTTATAACATTTTTAGTTAAATCGATCACTATTGGATTGTATTCACTGAAGGTAGAACTCAGTCTAGAACAGATTCACTGAAGATGTCTCCACCTTACTTGTACCATGCTTTGAAACTTTTTGTCTATTTTTATTCCTGTGTGTTTTCCCAAGATTCCTATTGTTTATCTCCTAAAACATAGAACTTTATAAAAATGCATGTCCACAGGCAGACTTATACATGAATACTTCCAGAGCTCAATCCATATAGCTCTAAATTGGAAAAACCAAATGTCTATTAATTCATTAATGGATAAACAAAGAGCAGTACACCAATATAATGAAATATTACTCAGCAATAAAAAGGAACAAGATACTAACATTACTGTCACAAAAAGGCTACATACTGTTTGATTCAATTTATGTTACATTCTGGAAAATGCTAATCTATAGGAATAAAAAATAGATGAGTGAGTCATAGGGGGATAAAGATGGGGGGAAAAGAGTAACTTGAAAGCATACCCAGAGAACTTAGTGCAATAATAAAATTGTTTTTGTCTTGATTATGCTGGTGGCTAGACAAATGTATACATTTATCAAACTCATTAAATATACAAAGTTTGAATTTTATTATATGAAAATTACATCTCTAAAAACCTGAATTAAAATATAATGAAGCAAAAATGGATAGATAAGTATCACTGAAAGTAGATCAAAAGCAATATATATTACCAGAGATAAATAAGGACTTTTTTTTTTTTTTGAGACAAGGTCTCACTATGTCACCCAGGCTGGAGTGCAGTGGCAGGATCATGGCTCACTGCAGCCTTGACTAGCTGGGCTTGAGTGATCCTCCCACCTCATCCTCCTGAGTAGCTGGGACTACAGCTAAATGCTTTTGCTCTATTCAACATTATATAGCCTGTGTATAAAGGCAGAAAAATAGAAATAGACAAAGCAGAGATGGGAAAGAAAAACAGCAAAATTATATCTTCCCAGATAAACATAAACGATCCTTCCCCCAAATCTCCAAAAATCTATACAAACTAATAAGCAAATTTATCAAATTTGTAGATGTAAAGTCAATATACAAAAATCAATTACATTTCTATATACTCATAAGAATTGTACATTATTTTTAAAAAACAATAGCATCAAAATATGAAATATTTAGTGATAAATTTAACAAAATATGAGCAATATCTATGCTTAAAGCTACAAAGAATTGCTGAAATAAATCTAAGATGACTGAAATAAATGAATTCAATAATATTATAATGTCAGTTCTCCCCAAATTTATTTAAAGATGCAAAACAATCTCAAATAAAATTATAGGAGGTCATTTGAAGAAACTAACCAGCTGATTTTAGAATTAATGAGGAAGTGCATAGGATCTAGAGTATACAAAACAATTTTGAAAAGAACAAAATTTTAAAATACATATAATTAATTTTAAGATTAGGAATAAGCACTGTAACCAAGGCAGTGTGGTGTTTTCATGAAAGTAGACATAGAGGTGAATGGCAGAGAAAACAGAGTCCAGAAATAGACACACATATAAATTGTCATTTGATTTTCAATAGAGGTGCTGAGATATTTTATTGTAAAAAGGGTAGTTATTCAACAAATGGTGCTGGAACAATAGAATATATGCAAAATAATTAAGTAAAGCACTAAATAATGATCCTAACCTCACACCATACACAGAAAGTAATTTGAAATGGATGAAAAATGTGAGAACTAAAAAATGTAAAACTTATACAAGAATATAAAAAGTAAGTCTTTGTGATTAGGGGTAGGCAAAGATTTCCTAGATAGGACAGATCAAGGATGAACTATAAAATAAAAATTGATAAATCGGATTTAATTAACTTTAATTTTGTATTTCAAAAGACACTTAAGAAAATAAAAGGGCCTACAACACTGGGGAAAATATATGCAAAAGTTATACCTGATTAAAGACAAATCCAGAATGTATAAAATTTCTTACCAGTTAATCATAACAGGACAAAATCAAACAAAAAGTGGGCAAAAGCTTTATGCAGACACTTTACCAAATGTGAAGTATGAACAAATGGCAATATTCAACATCATTTCACATTGGATAAAGAGCCATGAGATGCTACTGCATACCCACCATGATAGCTCAGATTAAGAGTGCTAATAATTTCAAGTGTTGACAATAAATTAAACAACTTGCTTTCTCATACGCTGCTAGTAGGAATGCAAAATAGTATTCACTTCGGAAACCATTTGGTAATTTCTTATAAACACACACATCCCTGTGACCTGACAATCTCATTTCTACATGTTATCTGAAAAGACATGAAAACACATATCTATACTCAGACTTATATGTGAGTGTTCATAGAAGCTTTATCCATCATAAGCAAAAACTGGAAACAAGAAAATTGTTTTTCATATGGCAAAGGGAAAAACACATTGTGATGTATCCATATAAGAGAATATTATTTAGCCTTAAAAAGAAACTGATATAGGAAATAAAATATGTAAACTCAAAATTAAAAATTATATTCTGTATACCATGTATATGAAATTCTAGAAAAGAACAAGCTATAGTATTAGAAATGTATCAGTTTTATTATTCAAGTACCAGGTGCACGAAGAGGGGATTGACTGTAAAAAGTTATAGGGGAACATTTTTTTCATGCTAGAAATGTTCTATTTGTGATTGTGATGGTACTTACATGACTGCACACATTTCATAAACTCATGAAATTGTACATTTAAAACTGGCAAATTTTATTTTATGTAAATACTATCTAGAAGCGCAGTTTAGGAAATAATACTTGTAGCACTAAATTATCTAAATATGTTTGTTTTACCTCCATTAATTATTAAAACAATACTAGGACCAGTCTGCATTGTTTGTAAGCTGTTTGCAGATCTTATTTATTGGGCTAGGAGTAAGCTTAGATGAGAATGGAGTTAGATTTCTTTTATTTTGTAGTGTTTAGGGATAAATTCTAGTATCTTCCTCAAAGAAGGAAACAAAACATAATGAATCCATTTCTTAAGGTCCCCCAGAGAGCTATCAAGTGATGCTGCTCTATCTGAAGTCACTAAACATCTCTTCTCTACAGATGCCCATCCACTCTTTGTGCTTCTTTTCTGTATGCAAGTACACCTCTATTTCTATGTTCTGTAAAACAAAACACCTCCATCTGGGTGATCATCAGAGACTCTTTTCTGTCTTTTGCTGATTCCAAGCCTCCAGTTTACAATGAGAGAAATGTTGAAGATAACTCTAGCAGAACAAAGTTCTGGGTAGGGAAAACTCTCTGAGTCATTCTTCACTGCATGCTGCTTTGCTTTCTCTTTGCCTTTCTCCACCAAATTACGGCACTCCATTCAGTGCTTTCTCAACTGAGTCCTGTGTCAGCAACTTTCTGCAGCTGCAAGAGCAGCTGCTGCTTCTACCTCCCTCTCCTCACTAGTGACTGTCATCATGTCCAGCCAAAAAAATACAAATTCTTTCTAAAGTTTCTGTCCTTGACTCAGTGTGATGTAGTTCTAGAAATTCTAGAAATGACTTCAGAAGTCTTTAAAGAGGAATGCTCCGAAGGAGCATCTTCTTAGTAGGAATGATATTTGTAACAACTGATGCTAGCAAAATACTTTTACCTAATTAGAGTCATTTTGTCGTTTTTACATAGCCAAGTGAACTCAAGCATTAACAACATTAAATGACCTGCAGTAAATAGCATAGCTAGGATAAGTATCGGCCACCATGTTCTTCCAGTAGCCTACATTGCCTCTGGCCGTGGTTAGAAATTGTCACAATCCCAGTTCAGAAGCGTGTTCAGAAGCCCTATCAATACTCCAAGGTTTTCTGTCTTAAAATAAAGCTTATTCAATACTAATATTTCAGCTTCCAGAAAGAGTTCTGGGTTTATGAAGGATCAGAATGCCATCCCATGTAAGAATGTGTTTCCAAATGGTTCAGAGAACCAAGGTAAAAGGTAACTACTTCTCCACTCATGCCCTCCTCCTTGACTGCAATTTGATGTCACTCATTTCTCAGGCTTAGCTATTTATCCCTTTTGTTAACCTTTCCAATCTCTTCATGGGAAATCACAGATCACATTGATTAGACCAAAATTTTCTAGACCAAGACTCTGGCCCTGATAGAATAATACCCAAACACAACAAAGTATTATGTATTATATACTTCGCAATATCTAAATATATCATCAAATATATTTAGTGTTCATAAATTATATCATGGTATTTTTAACATGATCATCAATCAGAGATCTGCATTTCTAATTATAAAACTGGTGTCTGGGTTCCAGTTCACTTGTTTACAGATTATGGCGATGGCAGATAAGATAATTAAGTATTTGTAACTCTCATTCAAATTTCCTTGCCTACAGGCTTATAAAATGTTACCTGTTGTATATATTTCACAGGGATTGTGAAAATCATATGAACCATAAGCTCACTTATATTATAGTACTTTGAAAGCTATTAAGCATTATGCAAATGTAAGGTAGCATTCTTAGTAATGATAGTACCTTGATAATATGTTATTCATCATTTCATCTATATTCTTCCAAAGGCTATCTATACAGGAAACTGTACAAACTCTTTGAATTAGTACCGAGTATTGAAGACAGCACATTTATTATCCTTTGCCTCTCCTCTTCAAGCCTCAGTGGAGGCTCGTTAGAGCTATTCACATTCTCAGCTACTTATTGGATCTACTTTTGTCCTATCAGCTCTCTGACTTCATTGCTCCAGATTACAGGATGGAATATACTTAAAGTCCTCTTACATGATTTCTGAGAGCCATTCCATTCACATCTCTGCCCCTTGGCTTTTACTATAAGATCTAAGACTTCCTAACCCAGATTCTCTGAGTCCAAATAACATTTTTTGTGCTTCCTTTCCAATTTCTCCTTTTACCTGCCTACTAAACCCTGTCAGTTCCTTGGATTATAACCACACTTTGGAATAGGGAAGTGATAAATTTGACATTTTTTTCTGCACCTATATTAAAGCAAAAGAGGTTCACACTTCTCAGATTTTTCATAAACCAATTATATACAAACAATAAGAACTAGTTCTAATTCTGGTCTGCTTCACAACCAGGCAGGCAAGTAACAACTCAAAATGGTCCAAACACCTAACAATTGCTGAAAGTTCACATAAATTTTCAGCTACATGCTTTTTATATTTTTAGACACCTTCTGAAAGTACTCATAATATTTTTGCCAAATTCACCCTAACCTTAGTAGACTACGTGAGTGATACTCTTACTGGTCCGGGTAGATCTAAAGGTGAGAGATAATTGATGTTGTTTTCTATACTAACCTTATCAATGTTGTTATTCACAATTTGGCTTCTAGTTCTAACCTAGCAAATTGCAGATTAACATTTTTCTACATCTATGCCTCCAATCTGTATTCAGATTGCCCTCTATACTAACTTTATCAATGTTGTTATTCACAATTTGGCTTCTAGTTCTAACCTAGCAAATTGCAGATTAACATTTTTCTACATCTATGCCTCCAATCTGTACTCAGATTGCCTACGATAAATCACATAAGTCACCAACAGCAACCACTTTCTAGGCTTTGTAATAATAGCCAGATGTCTTCACTCAGTTGGTCAGCTCAAACTGGTAGTCTCATCAACATCTTTCGTGGACCTGTGCTGGCAGGTGAACAATTAGGGGGACAATTCTCAGGTCACAGCAGGTGGAATAAACCTCCATCTTCCACTCAATCCTCTTTGTAATATATTCATCCCCTTGAAAACCACCCATAAAGTTGGTGTTAGGCTGACTCTTTCTATAAAACACAAGCTTTTAAGGTAGAGAGAGGCACAAAATATGATTTATTTGTCCTAAATGGCTCCTGTGTAGAGTGCCTGGGTAATCTGCTTTAGCACTGATTTCAAGTGTCAGGCTCATGTTCCAATAAAGATACCCACTAAAAGAGATTTTAACCAGTTCCTTAACTTCCTTACCTTGGTATTTGAAAACAATAATAAAAGAACTTTGTAAAAATTGTAAAAACTTAATGTGTGATTTTTTAAAGTGTCTTGAATTGTGAAAAAATATAGGGCTTGACTTCATATTAAATATAGTGTTCTTTGAGGAAAATTCAGTTCATTACTTCTATAGAATTGACAAATTTTAAACTTTTCATCAAATTCACACATGTAAGTTAAGAATTTTGATAGTTAAGATGAAAAAGTAAAATCAGTAGAGGGTCTGTCATTTTGTGCTGAAGTTATAAGAAAATTCACATTTTGTCTCCTCCCACTGGTGTTTAATTTGTATGTATCTCCTGTCTTAATCACCATGGCATAGGCTTGAATTTATGCAAATGATTACCATAAACCGTTTTCTTCATGGTGATTCTCATATTTCAAGAATTAATTAGTTATACTATAGGGAAATTTTAATGTTTAATTAATAGGAGAAATTTAAGTGATCTTAATTGAGCAGAAAATAATTTTTCTTCTAAAAGTTTATTCAGAATCCAGATGTTTCAATAAAAATAGAAATGCTATGTAACACCTGTGGCTATCAAAAACAACTAGATTTTGTTTTTGTGGTTTCAGTGTGCCAATGCATAGCCTAATTCTAAGTAAATGATGAATAGGTAAATACCAACATTTTATGACATTTACGTAAGTAAAATTTCCTCCTGACATTAAACAGGTTGTCAGCATCTAAATCTCATTTGTCACCATCCTCCAACACCGTTGTTCTTAATAACCTCTTGAAACTTTTAATTCCCTTTCAACTTTCCTTATCTGGCAAAACAGCACAACAAACACCTCTTTAATTTACTATCTTGCCGTACCACATACAGAAAGTTCTGGGGTGTCTGTAATGGTTTAGCATTCTAGGAGTGACATGCAGTAAAATTAGTTGAGGAAAGACTTAATAGTAAGCTGGAGATGACAAGGTATAAAGGAAAGATCTCAGAGTACAGAACAGACATAAAAGTCAGTTTCTTAGATGTGAAAGGTGTGCTTTACTTCTAGTAGGTCAAATAAAAAGTCATTATCCATTCTCTTTGTAATATATTCCTCATTAATTCTTCCTTATTAACCCCAGATCATTTTGTAGAGTTTAAGACGATTCTTTTGTTTTGGTTGATTTGGCCATTTGAAGGCAAGTAAAGAATAACTAAGGCTAGGCACGGTGGCTCACGCCTGTAATCCCAGAACTTTGGGAGGCCAAGGCGAGTGGATCACCTGAAGTCAGGAGTTCGAGACCAGCCTGGCCAACATGGAGAAATCCCGTCTCTACTAAAACTACAAAAATTAGCTAGGCGTGGTGGCGCGCACCTGTAATTCCAGCTACTCAGGAGGCTGAGGCAGGAAAATCGCTTGAATCCAGGAGGGAGAGGTTGCAGTGAGCTAAGATCGCGCCACTGCACTCCAGCCTGGGCGACAGAGCGAGACTCCATTTCAAAAAAAAAAAAAAAAAAAAAGAATAAGACTGTAAAATACATCAAATTTAGTGCAAATTATTTTAAGTCCCGTTTTAACCTTTAATGACATGATGCTTAATTTTATGTGTCAATTTAGCTGGGCCACAGTGCCCAGATAGTGAATTAAACATTATTCTGGGTGCTTTTGTGAAAAAGTTTTGAGGTGAGCTTAACATTTAAATCTGTGGATTTGTGAAAAGCAGATTGCCCTTCCTAATGCGGATGGACCACATTCCATCAGTTGAAGGCATGACTAGAACAAAAAGACAGACCCTCCCTCAGTAGGAGAAAATTCTCCAACTGACTGCTTTTAGACTTGAGCTGAAACATCAGCTCTTTCTGAGTCTTGGGCCTACAGGCCTTTGGACTGGAATTGCACCATATGCACACCATTGGCTCTACTGGATCTGCTGAATAACACTACTTGGGACTTGGCAAGCTTCCATAATCATGTGAGCCAATTCTTTATGGTAAATGTCTTTCTGCATACGTGTGTGTGTGTGTGTGTGTGTGTGTGTGTGTGTGTGTGTGTGTGTGTTCTATTGGTTATGATTCCCTGAAGAACTCTAATACAAATGAGAACAGAATACCTTGAGTTGCTGAGTCTTTAGAGGCATATTTAAAATACTTAGTTCTATGTATTTATGGACCACAGAATGTACTTTGAGTATTCAAAATAGTAGTATTATTTTAACACTACATGTAATTTATCTATTCAGGATAAAGATGTCTAGCAATGGCATACTTCTTTGTTTGAAACCACAATGACAGACCGTAACTGACCAAAGACTCCTTTCCATGGAAAGCAAACAATATTAAATACAAACTAAATAATGCCATATACAAATGTAATCATAACATGTGAGCAAGGAGGGAAAGATCAAGAGAGAAACTTCAGAAGAAAGAATGCTGCTAGGACCCTTGTTCATCAGACAGCCATGATCCCTCATATGCACACATATACACACATACTTACACACACACATGCTAAATGTACTAAGTGGATAGGTCATACTTAGATGATTTCAAAGTCACACTTACCTTAAAGTCCGTTTATATACTGATGAATTTTATTTTTATTTTATTATTGATAATGCTATTTTAGACTTTTTAGCTGTTACACTATTATACTTCATTATGTAGTCAAAGCAATTTATACCAGAATTGTTTGTTTTAACATTTGTTTTATGTGTTGCTTGTATATTCTTTTATAGACCTTCGAATACTAAGTCAGAAAACACTGTTATGGTGGTTTTGTACTGTGTTGTGTTGATCTGAAAGTGAATTCCTCAGAATTCCCTTTCCTGTATCATTCTGAGTTAGTATTAACCACTAGGAAATTTGCATGAGATCTAGAAAGCAGAAATAAAGGTTAATGTAACATTCTTTCACCACAAGAGTGCATTCTCAATAATTGCTAATATGCTGGGACCCCTTGGTGTCAGGTCAGCTGGGCCTCACTCCCTCTATTTCCCTTCATATCTCCTCCTTCATACTCTCTAAGTGCTGGACCAGATGTACCTATGGTTGGTTGGAGAAGGGTCCAGCTTCTTCTGCAGGTCACCCACTTTGTCAAGGTTGAAGGTAGACAAAGATAAGGACTTCAGTCTACACATGGGTTCCAATTTATCCTCACAAATTCTAGTCTGTCCTCATTTCCCAGTTCGTGTTCAATATTTTTTCCCAACTGCTAGCCCTACTGAATATAGAGACTCTAGACCCACCACCAGATGCACAGGCGATAGCCTCCCATAAATATCTTCAACAACTTCCACAATCCTGTCCATTCTAATCTGTCATTCCATATCACTCATAGTAGCGGTATGCTTCCCTAATTGATCCTTAAGCGGCACAAGTGTTTTCTCTCTACACCATGATGGAATCAAACATGTTTTATTCATTTTCACATTTAGGAGCTTCTCAGAGAGTAACTGAATTCTGTGTCTGTTTGTCTATGGATTCCAATTTTAAAATGTGAATATCAAGGGGGTTATGATGTACACAAACACTTCTACAGCATGGAATATTTGTTGGTATAAATGAAAAGTCCCACATTTTGGAAAAAAAAAACAAATTGTCTGCATGAAAATAAACACATGGGTTGACTAAACCCTACAAATCATTTAATCTAAACCTTCCATTTATGGTTGTAGAAACAAAGGACAAGATACTTACCTGTGGTCACAAAATAGTGTTGTAGTGGAGCTGGGACCAAAGTGCACTCCAGCTTAATTTCCTCTCCATACCTTCTTAACTCTTGACTTATTATCAGGTTTTGGGGAAAACCACAGGGAGTCTCAGTTGACTTCAAATTTACTAAGATTCAAAAGGGTAAGAAGATATTCAAACATGCTAACGTGACAAAAGGCTGTGTTAATAAAGTATAGTATCTACTGTAAGAAAGGGTATAATTTCACTGTAGCCTCACCTGGTCAGACCATTTATGCATTTGAGCACTTAAAAGATCCTAGGTAATTTAAAAAGAAGGTGAGCAGAATTATATGTGTGTTTAACACTCTGATAAGCAAAGGCTAGAGAATCAGGGTTATTTTAACTGAAGAAGGGAAGAAATGGCAGATATACCTGTAACTTAATATTTGAAGAACTTCCATAGAGAAAAAATAAATTTATTATGTGTACTTTTTTAGAGTGTAAATAAGATAAATTGTTAGATATTAGAGAGGATGGTTAATATTTCAAAATACTTTATTAAAAAAATAGGGAATTTCCAAGCTAAATAGGTTGCCATGTAATGCAGTGAGCTTCAAATCAGTGGAAAACTTCAGAGGCTTTGATGAAAACCTATCAGGTAGTTTTTGTAAAGAATTCCCAATAGAGTGGATGTTAGAATTAATGACTTCTAAGACTCTTCCTGTTTCTCTGCAGCTGAGAGTCTATTGTTTGAATGACAATGTTATACGAATGAAGTAATAACCTCAATTATGTGAAAGTTATATTTCTGCTATAACATGGAAAAGCTGCATTTTATCTTTCATATTTAGTCCTAAAATACCAACAACTCCCTTGAAAGCTTCTTTTTTCTAGAATGAGCTAGATTTAATCTAGATAAGTATATGTGGTGGAATAAAATTCAGGCTGTCAGGAGGAAGGTACCATATAGGTTTTTACTACACAAGGGGTAAGATCCCCAGACACTCAGTGATAAATACACTCTGGCTTGTGCCAAAGGACCCCTGTCTGTCCACAAGCCAGAATGCTGGCTGTGAGCCACCAAGATGACACTCAAGTTGATCCCCAGAGAGTAATAAGAGCTTTTGCTGTATTATCTGAACAAGATGCCAGACCAAGGAAAGGGGAGGGGAGGTCTTATCAGTGGCAGCTCAGCAGGCTGGGCTATTGGCATGGATTGTTTTACCATGGCAGTCACAGACAATAGAAGCAGACCAAGAAACATCTTTTTTATCCATAAGTTGACACAAAGGATGTTGCTGAACTTAAATACCTTAAAGAAAGAGAGGTAAAGAGAAAAGGGATTTCATGGGACCTGACAACGATGCCTTTTAAAGGAGAAAACGAAGTAATCTTGTTTGACTTTTTTTTTTAATTAAAAAGTTGTCCTCCATGAAATGCACAGCAACACTGGCAGATTCACAGGATAATGCTAGAACAAAAGGCTTCCCCTGTGCACGCAAGGAAGGCACACATCAAGTTAGCCTGGGGCCTTCTCTGAGAGGAAATTACAGAATAAAGTAAAGGAATCTTGAGTGGTTGTTGAGAAAGAAAAAAAATTCTAAAATCAGAATCTGATAAACAATTATAAGACTTAGAGTCAAAAGGGATCTTTGTTGCTATCTAGGGAAGCCTGGCAAATGTGTCAGCACATTTCAATCCCTGTGGAGGTTATTAAAAATACAGTTAATTAAGTTACAATCTACACTAACTGTGTCAGAATCTGATACTCAGACTGGTTTGGAAATCTCTAATCTAGGGCACCATAGAATAGTCACCGTACTTCTGCCCTAATACTTGTACTGCCATAACTGCTTTGGACTTCTAGCCTGGCATTTCTTCAATAATCAAGTCTAGCAGATAATAATAATTATTAGTAGTAGTATAGCTATGTCTTCCTATTTAATAATCAAAACAGTCCTGAAAGATAACTCTAATCTCATTTTACAAATCAGAAAACCAAAGTGACGGGTCATTTTCCAGCACCCGGAGCTGCTAAATGACATACTCAGAATTGTAACAGAGATGGCTCCTCAGCTCACATTTGTTCCACTATACCATATAGTAATAGATTGAACCAACCACATAGAATATCCGATATTAAATTTTTCAACCTACAAAAGTTATGATTTATATCATTTAATATGAAAAGTTTGAAGTCATGAAAGAAAAAGACAAGGCACTGTATAAGAAATCACTGTAGAAAAAATAAAGCTGCATGAACATTATGTTCTACAAATTAATCTTTTTCTTTTGGTGCATTGAAGTTTGATGATACTAGAAATAAAATTTTCTACTAACTATTGATGGGAAATTCCTTGCTTAGCTGACATTTTTCTGCTTGTGTTACTTAAGGATGAGTCAGAAGCCTGGGGCCTGGACTAAGTTGCAACAAGCTAGATGTCCAGGGAACAGCACTTTAGGAGGTACTCACTCTCTGGTGCCAAACTAGCACTTGCATTTTCTGAGGGTAAGTGGTTTCTTACACTTACGTCCTGGATGACTCCTTTGCTCAATCTAGTCCTGGCTTCACACTTCATCCTTATTTCTCCTCCTATTCTTTTTATGCCATTTTTGTTAACTCTGTACCCAAACGATACAAAGCAGGTAATTATAATCATGAGAACCAAGTCCAAGGAAGCAAGAATTATTTGTGAATAACTCAAAATATCACTTACACTGCTTTGGGGAGAAATTACAAAGATAGAGCAGAGAAAAATGGACAGTGTGTATTTAAAATAGAAAAAAAAACACAATTTATTTAAAAAGTGATTAAGGTTTAATTACTACACTTACTATCCATCAAGCCTATTTAAAATTGTATTTTCTTCATGCCATAGTGATACTTGGGTTATTATAACCACAGCCATCCATTATCTATTAGATTTATGAACTGAGAACTTTTCCTATGCCCCGAATCATGCATGCACAAAAAGACTTGATTTAGTAATCACAAAAGAAACATGTGTTTTTTAGAAGGAGGCAATCATAGAATCCTAGCATACCGGAATGGAGAATGAAAAAGGTCCTTAGAAGCCACCTGAGACTCAGGGAGGAACACACTTTCTACTCAGCCCTCTTTCATAGAAAACAATCTTGCCTCTGTTTTAAATATCTTTTAAAAAGAGAACAAATCCTCTGTCAGACATCTTTACCAATGTCAGAGAGTATTCTTACTAGAGTGCTCTCTTCTTCTTAGCCCAAATCTTCCTTTTGCAGGTTTTTTTTTTTAATCTTGCTCAGTGTCATGTAGCAACATAAGGCTATTATCATTTTTTTCCAAAAATTAGTTCTCAAATGTTGAGGAAGACTTTTATATTTGTTATAGTTATCCACATTAGACAGTCCAGGCTCTTCCAATAAGCTGGACCAAGCCAAGACCTGTTTCTCTGAAAGTATCTTGTTTTGCAGTGTGTTTTTAGAACTGTTAGTTAGATACAAATGTTCATTCTCACTAGTCTTCTTCAATATAGTTCTGGAAGCTCTAAATAGGCATGCAGATTAGAAAAAAAAATTAAATTATTTCCATTTGCATTGCCATGATTTTCTACATAGGAAATCCCAAAGAGTTTACAAAAGCTCTTAAACTAGTAAATAAATTCAATAAGGTGGGAGGATACAAGTTTAGCACACAAAAATCAATTACAGTTCTGTATACTAACAACGAATATACAGAAACCGAAATTTAAAATACAATGACAATTATAATTTCTCTGAATAAAATGAAATAATTTTGTATATAGTTAACAAAATATGCATAGGATTTGTTTGCTAAAAATTACAAAATACTGATGAGAAAAATCAAAGACCTAAATAAATGGAAACACATAAAAAGTGTATGGATTGGCAGACTCAACATGATGAAAATGTCATTTCTCCCCAAATTTATTTATAAGTTTAATTCACTGCCTATCAAAATCTCAACAAGGTATTTTAGTAAACATAAGCTTATTCTAAGACACAGGTCATAGAATAGCTAAAGAAAGCTTGGCAAAGTAGAATAAACTCAATATTCAGGCTTAGTATATACCTATGGTAACCAAGACAGTATGGTATTGACAGAGGAATAGACACATAGGTCTACTGAACACATAGTGTACTAAAAAACAGACCCACACAAATACACTCAAATGATTTTTTATAAAGGTAAAAAACTAACTCAGTGGAGGAAGGATAGCCTTTTCAACAAAAGGTGCTGGAACTATGAAATATCCATAGACAAATAAAAGTATCAACAATGATATCTCACTTTTTTACATAAAATTAATTCAAATGAATCACCAAATTAGATATAAAATATAATTCAACAAAAATTTTAGGAAAAAATTGGAGAAAAATCTTTAGAATGAAGGGCTAATCAAAGATTGTTATACGAGGCACCAAAAGTAGAATCCATAAAAGTAAAAAAATATAAATTGGATCTCATCAGAATAAAAACATTTCCTCTCTGAAAGCCCATGGGAAAAAGATGAAAACCCAAACTACACATGGGAGAAATGTTTGCAAACCATATATCTAACAAATGACTAGAATTTAAAATATGTAAATAACTAGTCGTTAGTACCCAACAGTTAAATACATAACAAAGAAACAAGCATTTCAATTGTAAAATGAGCAAAATACCTTTTGTTGAAGATGTGCAGAAGAGAATATACAGATAATTATATGGTTTGGGTGTGTCCCCACCCAAATCTCATCCTGAATTGTAATTCCCATAATCCCTATGTGTCATGGGAAGAACCTGATGGGAGGTAATTTAATCATGGGGACAGTTACCCTCATGCTGTTATCATGATAGTGAGCAACTTCTCATGAGATCTGACGGTTTTATGAGGGGCTTTTCCCTGCTTTTGTTTGGCACTTTTCCTTCCTGCTGCCATGTAAAGAAAGACATGTTTGCTTCTACTTTCTCCATTATTGTAAGTTTCCTGAGGCCTCCCCAGCCATGCTGAACTGTGAGTCAATTAAACCTCTTTCCTTTACAAATTACCTAGGTTTGGGAATGTCTTTATTAGCAATGTGAGAATGGACCAATACAGTAAGTTGGTACCAGAAGTAGGGTGCTGATATAAAGAAACCTGAAAATGTGCAAGCAGCTTTGGAACTGGGTAACAGTCCAAGGTTGGAACTGTTTGGAGGGCTCAGAAGAGACAGAAAAATGTGGGAAAGTTTGAAACTCCTTAGAGACTTGGAAAGTTCAGAAGACAGGAAGATGTGGGAAAATTTGGAACTTACTAGGTATTTATTGAATGGCTTTGACCGAAATGCTGATAGTGATATGGACAACAAAGTCCAGAATGAGGTAATCTCAGATGGAGATGAAGAAATTGTTGGGGACTGGAGCTAAGGTGACTCTTGTTATGCTTTAGCAAAGAGACTGGCAGCATTTTGTTCCTGTCCTGTCCCAAAGTCCCTGTGAATCTTTGAACTTGAGAGAGATCATTTAGGGTATCTGGCAAAACAAATTTCTAAGTGACAAACCCAAAGCATTCAAGAGGAAGCAGAGCATAAAAATTTGGAAAGTTTGCAGACTTATGATGCAATAGAAAAGAAAAACCCATTTCCTGAGGAGAAATTCAAGCCTGCTGCAGAAATTTGCATAAGCAACAAAGAGCCGAATGTTAAACCCCAAGACAATGGGGAAAATGTCTCCAGACATTTTGTCAGAGACCTTCACAGCAGCCCCTCCCATCACAGTCCCAGAGGCTTAGGAGGGAAAAATGGTTTCATGGGCCAGGCCCAGGCCCCCCACTGCCAGGCACAGGGCCCCCCTGCTCTGCATAGCTTCAAGACATAGTTCCCAGCATCCCAGCTGCTTCAGCTCCAGCCATGGCTAAAAGGGGCCAAGGTACAGCTCAGGCCATGGCTTCTGATGTTGCAAGCTCCAAGCCTTTACAGCTTCCATGTGGTGTTGAAGCCTGTGGGTGCACAGAAGTCAAGAATTGAGGTTGGGGAAGCTTGGCCTAGATTTCAGAGGATGTATAGAAATGCCTGGATGTCCAGGCAGAAGTTTGCTGCAGGGGTGGAGCCCTCATGGAGAACCTCAGCTAGAGCAGTGCAGAAGGGAAATATAGGGTTGGAGCTCCTACACAGAGTCCCCACTGGGTCACTGCCTAGTGGAGCTGTGAGAAGAGGGCCACCATCCTGTAGACCCCAGAATGGTAGATTCCCCCAACAGCTTGCACTGTGCACTGGAAAAGCCACAGAAACTCAATGCCAGCTGTGAAGGAACATGGTAGGGGGGCTGTACCCTGCAAAGCCATAGGAGCAGAGCTACCCAAGGCCATAGGAATCCCCCTCTTGCATCAGTGAGACGTGGATGTGAAACATGGAGCCAAAGGAGATTATTTTGGAGTTTTATGGATTAATGACTACCCTCTTGCCTTTCAGACGTACATGGGGCCTGTAGCCTCTTTGTTTTGGCCAATTTCTCCCATTTGGAACAGGTGTATTTACCCAATGCGTGTACCTCATTGTATCTAGGAAGTAACTAAATTGCTTTTGATTTTACAAGCTCATAGGCAGAAGGGACTTGCCTTGTCTCAGATGAGTCTTGGATGTTTGAGCTAATGCTTGAATGAGTTAAGATGTTGGGGGACTGTTGGAAGGGCATGATTGTGTTCTGAAATGTGAGAACATGAGATTTGGGAGGGGTCAGGGCAGAATTATATGGTTTGGCTCTGTCCCTACCCAAATCTCATCTTGAATTATAGTTCCCATAATCCCCATGTGTTGCGGGAGGGACCTGGTGGAAGGTAATTGAATCATGGGGGCAGTTACCCTCATGCTATTCTTGGGATAGTGCGTGAGTTCTCATGAGATCTGATGGTTTTATAAGGGGCTTTTCCCTCTTTTACTGGGCACTTCTCCTTGCTGCCACCATGTTAAGAAAGACGTGTCTGCTTCCCCTTCTGTCATGATTGTAAGCTTCCTGAGGCCTCCATAGTTATGCTGAACTGTGAGTCAATTAAACTTCTTTCCTTTATAAATTACCCAGTCCCACTTATGTCGTTATTAGCAGTGTGAGAATGGATTAAATCAGATTCCATATAAGCACATGAAAAGATATTCAACATCATTAGCTGTGTTCAGCCATCACAGAAACACAAATTAAAAGCACAATGATATATCACTACACAACTATCAGAATGGCTAAGACAAAAAGTAGTGACAATTCCAAATGCTGGCAGGGATTCAGAAAAACTGGATCACTCCTATATCATGGAGGATAATTTAAAATTGAACAGCCATTCCAGAAATCAGCTTGACAGTTTCTTATAAAACTAAGCATGAAATTACCATATGACCCAGCAATTGCATGTTTGGGCATCTATCCTAGAGAAATGAAAACTTTATTTTCACAAAAAGACCCACAAAAATATTCAAAACAGCTTTCTTTCTTATAGCCAAAAACTGGAACCCATCTAGATACTCTGTAATAGATGAATGTTTAAAGAAATTGTGGGTCATATCATCAAATACATCAACAAAACGGAATGACCTGTTGGGGAAAGCAAGAACTTGAAAGGATTTCTAGGAATTTATGCTAAGTAAAAAAAAAAAAATCCTCATGCCTGTAATCCCAGCACTTTGGGAGGCCGAGGTGGGTGGATCACAAGGTCAGGAGATCGAGACCATCGTGGCTAACACAGTGAAACCTTGTCTCTACTAAAAATACAAAAAATTAGCCGGGCGTGGTGGTGGGCACCCGTAGTTCCAGCTATTCGGGAGGTTGAGGCAGGAGAATGGCGTGAACCCGAGGAGGGGAGAAGCTTGCAGTGAGCTGAGATCATGCCACTGCACTCCAGCCTGGGCGACAGAGCAAGACTCCATCTCAAAAAAAAAAAAAAAAAAAAATCCCATCTCAAAAAGTGATAGACTGTATGATTCCATTTTATGACATTTTTCAAATGATACCAATTTTTTTAAATTTTACTTTAAGTTCTGGGATACATGTGCAGAACATGCAGGTTTGTTACATAGGTATACATGTGCCATGGTGGTTTGCTGCACCCATCAACCCATCATCTAGCTTTTAAGTCCCGCATGCATTAAGTGTTTGTCCTAATGCTCTGTCTCCCCTTGTCCCCCTCCCCCTGACAGACCCTGATGTGTGATGTTCCCCTCCCTGTGTCCATGTGTTCTCATTGTTCAACTCCCACTTATGAGTGAGAACATATGGTGTTTGGTTTTCTGTTCCTGTGTTAGTTTTCTGAGAATGATGGCTTCCAGCTTCATCCATGTCCCTGCAAAGGACATGAACTCATTCTTTTTTATGGCTGCATAGTATTCCATTGTGTATATGTGCCACATTTTCTTTATCCAGTACCATTTTTTAAAGCAAGCATAGATTAATGGTTACTGGGGTTTAGGGACAGGAGACAGGGCACAGGAGGGAGGGAGGTGTGGATCTTAAAAGGGCAACACAAGGGGTCTTTTGGGTGTTGGAACTGCGGTGACTTGACTGTGGTGGTGATGGATACACAAGTCTTCATAGATGTCAAAATTTGATAGTACTTAATACATACACATACCCAACTGCAGATATAACTGGGGAAGTCTGAATAAGATTTGGATATATTTTGGTTGTGAAATCATAATTTTTAAAATTGTTACTATTAGAGAAAACTGTCCCATGTTTTTCCAAGAGGCTTTCTTGTCTCAGTTTTCTTTCAGTTCTTGAACACATCAGAGAGTTTCAACCAGGTACTAATTTTTGCCACATTTAAGTTTCTATAGACTCGAAGAAAGCAAATGACTCCTCACTTAACATGCTAGCAATAGCAGCATAGGCAGGTCCTAGATACAGCAACAATGAAACAATAACTAGTAATTACCTTATTGTAGGCTATGGGGATTGAAGTGAAAAACATAGAAACCCAAATCCTCAAATCCAGGGTTTGCTTGAAAATTAATGTAGGACTTTTCAAAAGGTAAGTATCTCTTTTATTTGATGTGAAGGAAAAAAGCCTTATTTCTGTATGTGCATAATTCATGCTGTGTGGATGTAATTTTTATTGCAAAAATGAGATGTCCTTATGCAACAGAACAAGTTATTTTTTATTTGTAAAATGTGTGGAAAGTCAAGCACAGGCTATGGCAATAGCATGGAGAAGGTTTCTCTCCTGGAATTAAAATCTTACAAAAAGGGTCCTGAGGGATGGGTGAAGATGCAGAAAGTTACTTAAGGTAGGTTAGTTAGTCTTTTTTAAATGTGTATAAATTTAAGAGGTACAAGTGCAATTTTGTTACATGGTTATATTGTTATATTGTGTAGCATTGAAGTCTTGGCTCTTCGTGTAACAAGTGCCTAAATAATGTACATTGTACCTATTAAGTAATTTAAGTAATTTCTCATCCCTCACCCCCTCCCACCTTCCCAGCCTTCTGAGTCCAAAGATTATAACCAAATAGAGACCAACAGGAAGGTAAGATGGAGTCAGATTGGTATTTTAGACCTCCCTATGGAGTCAGATTGGTATTTTAGAACCAAAAAAGTGAGTCAAGATGCTTATAAACTTGTGGCTGCTGTTGGTGGAAAAAGTAAAGAAAACTATCTGTTCACAACTACACCAAGCTATAAACCTTAGAAAGTTGGCACCTCTCATGGCTAGAAATCAAAGCTTTGTAAAATGCACTGGCTTAAAATTTCTTGCATTTTTAAATTGATCTTTTGTTGCTTTCGACAAACCTCTTGACATTCTGTTGTTCTTAACTGTGAAGAGGATTTTGTCTGCATTTAGGCCTGAGTTTTTAAGAGAGAGAGAGAGAGCAATGTCCCTTAGGGAAAAACCAGTGGCAATGGATTCCCAGTAAAGTGCCCAAGAGAAAGATAAATCTCATAGAGAAGAAAGATCAGGGCTCCTGCTGGAGCCGGAACTCTCTGTTTGTGAAGTTTTGGAGTTCACATGCTTTTATCCTAAGACTACAGTTTTTTCCACCCCGCTCCCCCTTGCCTTTTTACTCCCAAAGTCTATTGCTAATACCAAGAAGCATTTGCTCTGAGGCTTCATTTTGAGTCTGCTATAGTTTACAACCCAGTTTCTGCTCTCACTCTTCTGAGTCACACTTTCTAGATTGCTGCAGTCATAGTCTGCTGATGATCCAAAGTCATTTTCCATCACTTGCTTCTTAGAGGACTTCACATTCAAGGTGGTATCATTTACTGATGCACTAGTATGGAAGCAGGAGGTGCTGAATATAAAAGAAAGAAAATTTATACTCCTGTCCTTGGAAAGTTTATAGTCATGAAAAGGGCTTGGGAAGGTTTAGAAAGCAATTTGCAAATAGATATATTAATATTGTGAAAACAGAGTACTATATTAAGGCCAGGGACAATCTAACAAGCAAAGGAACAATAATGAAAATAATAACTAGACTTATAAAGTCTTTTCTAATTTATCAGTTCCTCCCTAGCCTTATCTCACTGGTTACAACCCTGTCAAATAAAGACCTAATGCTTTATTAAATCTCTATTTTGCTGATGTAGCAAAAAAATTGGGGCTCAGAGTTTGTCACTGTTGTGGCCAGCCTGAGACTCTGGGCCCTTGTTTTTCTTTCTACATGCCACCTTCTCAATAAAAGGAGATGGGATGGATTTGGGACATAGGTGCGTTTGGAATAGGATTCTATGGGAAGTAAAATTATGTACAATGTCAGGCAGACATGGAGAGAACATTGTGGTGTGCTATTAATCTTAAAGTAAACAAATAAAAGCAGAAACTCTCTGTACAAATGCAGAAACTATTTTTTATTTTTAAAAAATTGAATAATGCAGACCACCTGTTCGGTTGAGAGACAGTTTCTGTGGACTTATCCTTTCTCTCTGTGTTTGATAACTTTATATTTCTTAAATGTATAACTTGAAGAAATCAGGCAATCAATCTACTCTCCTTGTCCCATACATAAATGGGGCATAATAGCAACATTTTCATTGGTGAAAACTAACTCAAAAGAGTTCAATTCTTATAAAGATCAATCTTCAATATGTCTCTTTGCAGCAAGGAGAAGGCCAGTATTAACTTTCATGAGGCTGCATAAGGAGACGGTGATACATGAGTTCTTTCTGAAGTAAAAAGTAGCCTAGGCAAACTATGAACTGTTTCACAGGGATAAAAGCTATGGCCATGTGATTTACATAATAAGCTACAGCATTCCCTTCAAACTAAGGTTCTCTGCATCACACCTTAAGAGCAACATAAGTAAAACAGAGAAGCAGGGAGAGGCACGGAAGAAAAAGTGATAACCTTTCCTAGACTCAAAGGGCAGCTATATATATGTTGGGGAAGAATCTCTATGTTTTTTAATATCAGTGTTAAAGGTCATATCCATCTGTCTCTGGGGGGGAAATGAGTTTTCCCTTCCATAGTTAGAATTTCATTTCTATCTTCATTGAATGAAGTCCACAACCTAAAATGCCACGCAGGTAAGTAGAGAGAGATGCAGTATTAGTCTATAATTTGCAACATCCATCACATTTCATCAGTGTAGAAATGTTACAAAATGTGCAGACCCAACTGACAGGATTGCCAAGGGAACCTCCTCCTTCATTGTGCTTCCATCCTTCTCTGCTTGCCTTGCACGTCCAACCCCAGTGCACTACTTTTTGCCAGTGCATTATTTTGGGATTGTATCATCAGCTATTTATGGAGCAGCTATTCTGTCCTAAGAATGTGCTGCCCTGACAGATGAGAGATTAGTGAGATGTAGTCCCTGACCCCAAGAGGCTGAATGGTTAAAACAATCTAGGTGGCCTTGAACAGCACAATCTTATATATGGTGAAGGGCTACACTGCAAGCACAGAAAGTGTTCTGAAATGCAATATAGCAAATTAAAAAGAACTAAATATTGAGGGTTTGGAGGTCTTTGCTATATTACTCATTTTCTCCTACTAAGATATGGCCATAAATATTATCTGTCTGTACCTTAATGAATGTATCTGCAGTATGTAAATAATATCAGCTGCCTGGCCTACAGTGGGACACTATTGTGAAGGACACATGAGTTCATGCACTTTGATGAGAGTTTTAAATGATATATCTGAAAGATGGAAGCAGTTAAGAATGAGAATTAAAGTGAGCAGTAGCTAGAAAGAGGCCAGGAGGCTAACTATGGGTCTAGTTATAAAGCAAAGAAACTCAGACTAAGATGAGAAAAACTGTCAGCAGAGGAAAGAATTGAGCAGGTAGGCAGAATGAAGCAGAGATGCCAGGAGACGGTCCATGAAGAGAGAGAGTGGAAGAGGCGAGAGAGGAGAGAGAGTGGTGTAAAGTTGGAGAGCAGGAGGCAGATGTAACACGGTATAGCAGTCTGTCAGAATGCAAGCCAATGAAAGGTAGAGAGCATCTTTGAATTCACCTACAGTACTGAAAATAGTGTGCTATGTATTGCACCTATAGTAGACACTCAATTCATATTTGCTGAAATAAAAATCTTGCCATATTAGGAGATCTTTTGGCTCTTTTGCCAAAATCATCAGAGGGATACATTTTAATTTCTTATAAAATTACCCCTCCTGTCATTCTCCTTCAGGATCTATTCACACCGAGCAAATGAAATTCAGTTTCTTTGAGAAGTGCAGCAAGCTGTAAACACACATATTATAAACGTCAAAATAATATTGACTTCAAAATAATAGTTATTAGGTATTACAAATAGTTATAATTATTGAGAAAATATAGTAACTGAGTATGAGACCTCTCAGAAGCTGAGTGAATTTAGGCAAAAAATTATGTTTGTCAGAGTAAATTATTGAGACATTCATTTGTGTGAGGTGTATATGTTTCTTTTTTGTAATCTGCAGTCCTCTGTTTCAAGAAGATAGACAGATATTCATGTCCTTATAGCACAGGGTTGATGCTGTTGCAGGGAACTTATCATGACCACGTCAACATTTATTCCTGAGGAAGGTGGGAAATCATGTAATGCCTTTGAGGAGGAAGGCAAGTTCTTGAAGAGAACAGGAGAGAACAGAGGCAGAATAGATTTCCCAAGTCAGGAGAGGAAAAAAGCCCTGCAAAATCTGGGGATGTTTGCCCTACATTTTGGCAGAGCCTTGGGGAGGTAGAAAATCCTGGGACAGAGCTGGCTGCCTGGTGCATCTCCAGAGGGTTAGCAGTAGAAGTTCAGCCTCTATGTATGACAAAGGTATTTCTGCCCAGGTGTGGCACAAAAGCAATACAGACACCTCCCTCCAGGGACCATATAGGTTTAGGAAATGAAAACATCATATGCGGATCGCAAAACACAGTGCTCTCCCCAAAAGGCCTACTTTGAGTAAAACTCCTAGAATCATTTCATGCTCCCCCAAAAAGAATCCCAGTTAAAAACAGAAAATCAAATTTCTCTTTAACTGTAGGAAATGAAATAATTCAATGTCATATTTGATTCTATATTAGAAAAACAGACTACCTGAATATGAATCTTTAATAGCTGACCATCTGATTATTTATCCTGCTAACATTTAAGAATCATGTTTTTGGTGGGATATTTTCTCTAAGACACATATTGGGTAGAAACATGAAACTTGGCAATCCCTTAAACACAAATTTCTAGAGAAAACAAGGAGTGCTTCCTTAAATATACTGTCAAAACATGGTTTTAACAAATTTTTAGTTTAAAGATCTAATTGGCTTTTTTTAGTGAATCTAGAATTGGGCAGCAGTTATTCTATAATATAGAATAATACAGAATAAGTGCTCTAATGAGTTCATTAGAAAAGGTGGGCTTTATGGACAGAAAGTGGCTCAATAAAGCCAAAATAAAGAACATAAAATGGATTGACAATTTCAAAGTTTCTTTCCTTATAGGGATAAAGCAGAGGGGACTTTCTTATCATGCCAGCTAGAACACGGTGAGAAAGTAGATTTTGCTATTATCTCTCTTTCTCTATTTCTCTTCCTGATTTTTCAGAAGGCCAAATAAATGACTTAATTTTCGTTTGGTGAGTGACTCCATTTTGGTCTGTTGGGACACGGTGCAGGAGCTGAGTACAAAACTATGGCCTCCCACACATTTTGTTTAACAATATTCTCCTTTTGCTCAGATCTCACCTAGTTAAGAGTGTGACCAAAACTTATAGCATCAGTGCTATTGCCAGTTACCATCATTTTTTGTTTTTCAGTCACAACATGTCAGAGGTTACAGAGTCTTTGTTACTACTCGCTTGAGTTTTTATCACTCTAGACAAAGGGAGACCATTTGGCATTAAGCAAATGACTGCATGCAGGCAATTAAAACTTTTGAGAAGATATAATACATCAGGAAGAATACTATTATGACTGCCAGGAGGATAATACTGAGTTTGGAGTATGTATGTTCCTTAACCAAGGTCCCCATGAGTCAAACCAGCTAATATGGAACAGATCAAAGAATGAGGCCAACAAGAAATCCACCTGAGCAAGTAACCTGTACATTACTTTTCTGAAGAGTCTTTACAATACTCAACATATTTATCCATATGCAACAGCAAGTGTTAGCAACTGCAAAATACAGTGGGAAGAAAGATGGGTCAGTTTTATTATACTTACAATATGATCAAGGGTAAGAGGATCTCATAACTGCAGGTTTGCTGATGAGATTGGAACTCTTAAATCTGAGCCATATTCAGTGCTTACATGCAGGCATGTTTGGGCTGGTCTGGCAGTCTGATGGCATTGGCCTGCCAGGAGCCTATTTACATAAGGATTCAGGGACTCTTTGGGGTGGACACTTATTCTAAAGAAAGGACGGGCAGACCGAATGGTTAAACAGAGCCATTGTTATCAACCAGAGAAGTCACTCTGAGTATAACTTGGTGTTTGTAAGTTGGAATTGCCTTCCAGCTAAATTCCTATGAACCTATGTCTCATTCTAAGGAGAAGAGAAAACTGAAAAACCAATTTGTTCATTTCTTCTAAGTTACTAGGACACAGGGTTGCTGTGCAATAGATTTAAAAAGAAACAAACCTATTCCTCCTGTGTAACTGAGACTTTGTACATTGACCATCATTCCCTCATTTCCCCCAACCTCCAGCCTCTGGTAATTACCCTTCTACTCTCTGCCTCTATGAGTTTGATTGTTTTAGGTTCCACATGTAAGTGAGAACATGAGATATTTGTCTTTCTGTGCCTGGTCTATTTCACTTAGCAGAATGCTCTCCAATTCCATCTGTATTATTGCAAATGGCATAATTTCTGTTTTTAAAAAGCCAAATAGCATTCCATTGTGTATATATACCACATCTTCTTTACCTATTAATCTGTTGAGGGACACAAGTTGGTTCTATAACTCGGCTATTGTGAACAGTGTTGCAATGAATGTAAGCATGCAGACATCTCTTTGACATACTGATTCCAAATCTTTGGGGTAAAATACCCAGAAGTGAAATAGCTGTATTGTATGGTAGTTCTATTTTAGTTTTGTGAGAAAGCTCCATACATTTTCCATAATGGCTGTATTAATTTACATTCCCACCAACAATGTACGAAGGTTCCCTTTTCTCCTCATCCCCATCAGTACTTGTTATCTTTTGTCTTTTTCACAATGGCCATTCTCACAGGTGTTGGGTGATATCTCATTGTGGTTTGTGGTTTTGATTCGCATTTCCCTAATGATTAGTCATGTTGAGCATTTGTTCATACATCTGCTAGCCATTTGTATGTCTTCTTTTGAGAAACATCTATTCAGATCTCTTGCCCATCTTTTAATCAGATTGTTTTCTTTCTATAGAGTTAAGTGTTTTTTAATTTTTTCATATATTAATCTCATATCAGATGTGTAGCTTACACATATTTTCTCCCAATTCCTGGGCTGTCTTTTTACTCTGTTGTTTCTTTTGTTGTGCAGAAGCTTTTTAATTTGATGTAATCCCACTTAACTATTTTTGTTTATGTTGTCTGTGCTTTTGGAGTCAAATCTAACAAACTCATTGCCCAGTTAAATATGGCTGGAGTTTTCCACTGTTTTCTTCTAGTAGTACTATAGCTTCAGGTCTCTTGTTTAAGTCTTTAATCCATTTTGAGTTAATTTTTGTATATAGAGTGAGATAGGGTTACAATTTCATTCTTCTGCCTATGGATATCCAGTTATCCCAACACCATTTATTGTAGAGATTGTCCTTTTCCCATTGTGTATTCTTGACACCTTTGTCAAAAGTTAAACATGAAAACAGATTGTGAGACCTGAGGGGAGAAAAATCAATTGAATGTACATGCATGAGTTCATTTCTGGAATCTCTATGCTATTGAATTTGTCAGTATGTCTATTTATATGCCAGTACCATGCTGTTTAATTACAATTACTTTATAGTATAATTTGAATATTCAATAGATTTAAGGAATCAAACTCATACAGAATAGTTCTGTGACAATAATAGAATTGTTAGAAATCAATAATATAAATATATTTAGAAAATTTCCCCCAAATTGAAAATTAAATACTATACTTCTGAGTAACCCATAGATCACAAGAGAACCATAAAGGATATTAGAAAATACTTTAGATTGAAAAATGATGAAAAACATAATATATTACAATTTGTGAGACACAACTAAGGCAGTTTCTTAGACCAATATTTACAGAATTAAATACTTATATAATAAAAGAAGAAAAGTTTAAAGTATAAATGGGGAATACAACTTTCTTTCTTCCTTGTCTCAGCCAAGGACTTAGAGTCGTTTCAGCTTATCAAGGACTCCAGACACTCTCCTAAGTTGTCTGAACACTTTGAGGGCTCCAGAATCTGTTAGTGCCCATAGAGGGCAGAAATTCCTGGAGTGAGCCAGCTGAATTATTTTTTACCAGAGGCAGGGCTGAGAAATTCTTGTTTAGCTTCATAGGCAACAGAGGGCTTAGCAGAAGAGGGGCTATGAAAAGCAAAGGAAATAAGTGACAGAAACCTCACTGTAGCTGATAGAACTTATTCATAAGTAAATGTGAAAAGAAAAAACACACAGAGTTTCCATCAGAAATAATAGGGGGTGTGGTAGCTTTAGAGGTGGGTAATAACTTGAAGGAAGTTAAAGATCAGTGTCACACATATGATGGCAAATTCTCCCTGAGTGAGTACAATACAGCCATGTATACAGAGAAAGTCCAGACTGTGGCCTTCTTAAAACAACTAATTTAGTAAGACAGTGTATTAGTTATCTGTTGCTGTATAACAAGTTATCCTCAAACTTAGTAGCTTGAAATAACGACATTTACTTTCTCTGAGTTTCTATAGTTTGGGAATCTAGATCCAGCTCAGCAGAATCTTTTGTTTCAGGATATCCCACAGGCTGCAATCTAGGTATGCACTGGGCCTCCAATGTCTAAGCCTCAACTGAGGAGGAATCCACTCAAGACCACTCATGTGGTTATTGGCAGGATTCCATTCATTTTGGGTGTTACACTGAGGAACTCAATTCCTTGTGGGCTTTTGGCTGAAGGCCACCCCCTCTCCTTTCCAGGGGGTTCCCTCCAACATTGCAGCTTGCTTCATCCAAGCATGCAAGTGGAGAAGTCAAAGAGAAGAGAGTCTAGCAAGATCAAAGGTGCAGTCTCTTGTAACCTAACTACAAAAGTAATAACTTTTGTCGGACTCTATCCATTAGAAACAAGCTAGGTCCAGCCCACACTGAAGGGGAGGCCATGAGTACCAGGCCATGGAGATTACTGGGAGCCATTTCAGAAAGCTACCACAGACAGGAAAACAGGTAAGGGGTGGGGAAGAGATTTATACACACTGCCAGGGCATTTCCTCTTGGAGTGTGATGTCCTAAATAATACTCAACATTGGGACATTAAGCCCCTAAGGTGCTCAGATAACAACTGCACTCAGATGCATGGAGTTATGTATGAGGCAGGGCATTAAGCAGGCCCTGAGTGCAGAGATTTGTCTGAGATAAACGTGACCATACATGACAGCATCAGGAAGCCTTTCAACAAAGGGAAATCTTGAACTGGGAATACAGGAAGAAGTAGCTAATGAGGGGGAAGAGTGAATGATTATGTTAGAGTACATAGGAAGTTTTACTGGATTTTAAAATATTTCTTTTATACAAACAATTTTGTAGACAACCTTTTAAATAATATTTTTATAGATGTTTTGTGTGAATGTATGAGTGGGTTTCTCTAGTCCCTATGTCATCAATGAGTTCCTGAAGATAAAAGTTTGAGAAGCCCAGTTAGTGTGATTCATTGAAGTGTTTTCTAAACTTCAGCCATTTAAGTATTTCCTTTGTGACTTTTCCCAGAGTGGTATTACTATTAGGCGACATTTTTTTAAAAGTTTAATGTCCATTTAACTCTGACATATTTTAAGAATATTTTTATAATCACTGCTAGAAACAGAAATCTGTTATTACTAGTCATAAATATCATTCTTATGTACATTG
Organism: Homo sapiens; assembly: GCF_000001405.40. Classification (NCBI taxonomy): domain Eukaryota; kingdom Metazoa; phylum Chordata; class Mammalia; order Primates; family Hominidae; genus Homo; species Homo sapiens. Next base: position 118,105,733 of record NC_000003.12, read on the forward strand.
AAATTGATGTATGTGTATAAAATATTTGTCTATGTACTTCATCTCCAGTGATAGGAAAATTGAATTAAAAATTATACAATGGAAGGAACATGTACTTTGGGTTTGAATCACGACTTTGCCATTTTCTATTTATTAAAATATAGGTAACTAAGTAATAGTTGACTTATTTGAAACTCAGACTTCTTTTCTATAAAATTGGGATAATAGTATTCACCTTGACGTACTATTATTCACTGCTAATGAGATGATATTTGTGAAAAGGATCACATTTTGTATTTAATAATAACTGTAAACATAATATTGGTGATAACTATTACCTATTGCACAATTACTATGTGCCAAGCATTGTACTAAACTGTAAATATGTTTTTAATAAAAGTTAGTGTTTGTTTTCAAAAACTGTCTTATCAAGTAGCTCAATAATTCCACTTAATATTGATTATCTCCCTAAACAGTTCCCAAGTTTCTAAGGGACTGAAAAATATTTGAGGGTGTGCGATAGATTAGAACACTTACAGTGACTCTATCATTACAGCTGGACAAAAGTACCACGGTAAAATTTAATTAAGAATATGTTATAGATAAAAATTATGACACTCAAATCCCTCCCTTTGTAGTATACTGTATTACATGGATTGTATTTAATTAGTCCTCATAGTTTACACGTTGGTACATAAAGCCCTTGCAGCTGATTTTGCCACATTTCAAGGGAAAATTAGTTCACAAATGTGGAGTTTCCTGAGAGTTTTAAGCACAAGAACAGAAGATACGACAGGTGCCCCATGGGTGGTAATTTCTTTATAAACTAGAGACAATTAGGCTAATAAGACAATTTATGTGTCTTGATTCTACTCTCCCAAATTTCCAATACTTATCTTAAAATAAGTATTTGCCAGTCCAACAGATAATCCCTTCCAGCTGGGTTCTGTCTTTCAATGACCTCCAATCTTACTTAGGTCAAACTTCCTCTAGCTGTTCTTATCTTTCTACTCAAACCTTGTTAAAGCATTTGTGTGGAACAGACTTTCCTGAAGGGTTGAGGTAACAGGTTTGTGTGCCAATTTGCTACTCAGCCCTCCAAAACCTCCCTGCTTCACCATTTTCTTGGGTTCCATTCCCTAGGCTCCTAAGAGCATACTCCGCTTCATTTTATTATGCAGAACAGCTTGGTTCTCCACCACCTACCCAGCTCAGAGCCTGCTACTGTATACCAAACAGTTCGTTAGGGGACAAGTAACAGACTCTTGTAGGCCCCTCGAAAGAGCACAAATTAATGGCAAGAGGCGTTGAAATTTTCTTACTTTTTATCATTTCAACTAATCTCCATAAGAATAAAATAACAATGCATACACTATTTTATGCAATTTCCCTGAGAAGGCAGAAGCACTTATAATCGTTTTGGGTGGTAAGTAATTTTTTCTTTTTATTATAGTTGAATAATTCCAGGCAGAAACGAGAAGTTTCTAATCCCATTTTAACAGTTTCCTCTACCAATCAAAGGTTTCCTCACTCTACTTTCTAACATTTTTCACAATGGTCATGCACATATAAAAAGGGAATAAACCAATCTTTTGGGATAATAAAATCCAATGTACCCATTTTACAGAGAAATAAACTGATGGCCAGAGCAGAACCTAAATTTCTCATTTCTCTGTTTTTTTTTTTTTTTTTTTTTTTTTGGAGACGGAGTCTCGCTCTGTCGCCCAAGCTGGAGTGCAGTGCCGCGATCTCCGCTCACTGCAAGCTCCGCCTCCCGGGTTCACGCAGTTCTTCTGCCTCAGCCTTCCAAGTAGCTGGGACTACAGGCGCCCGCCACCACGCCCGGCTAATGTTTTGTATTTTTAGTAGAGACGGGGTTTCACCGTGTTAGCCAGGATGGTCTCAATCTCCTGACCTCATGATCTGCCCTCCTTGGCCTCCCAAAGTGCTGGGATTACGAGCGTGAGCCACCACGCCCGGCCGGAACCTAAATTTAAACAACTATTCAAGGAGAGGAATAGACAGTAACTCGGGTCGGTATATCATACCCCTCCATATTTTCAGTGCATCATTCAACGGCAAGGATGAAAGGTCAAAAAGTAACATCTTGAATATGTCCCAGCAAAGAAAATTATTAGTACTCTGAGACCAATAATTGCCCCCAGAATTTTAGTTGGTGGAGCATTTTAATTAGTATTTGAAAGATTGTAATCCAAACTGTAACTGGTCCCCTCTTTTCTCTGTGCATTCTTTCCTCTCAGCACAGTTCATCACTAATTCACACTCTACCTGACATTTCAACACACAGGAGGAAAAAGGAAGTTATGGGCTTCTAGAATCTCCAGCAATACTTTCTCTCCTTGACAATAGCTATGATCCACTTCTCAATATCTGCTGCAGTCTTTCACTAGAAAGCCAAACTTTCAGCTGAAAAGCCACTAATATCAGACTAACGCTTGTAGCAGAATCCTCTCTTTTTCTGAAAATATCGGAGGATTGAAGGGGGTGACCCCATATGGGCTGGGGTGGACGTGATAAAATGCAAATTTGCAGCTTTCAGTGGAGAGAGAATGATACAGTACTAGGTCAGAAGTGTGGACTGAATGAGGATTTTTTTAAATACTAATGTAACTGGGGGAGGATGGCTTCCAGATGGGAGGGGCAGCCTGTGGAGAGAGGTTTGTGGGGGCTGAGGGTGAAAATTGAGCAAGCATATGGAACTGTTAGGGAAAGAAAAAGGCTCTAAGAAGACAGAAGGTGTGGAAATGAGACTCATATGGAGTAGAGAGCTTGATAAAGATAAGCAAAGTGTGTTAGGTCTGAAAAGAGGGAGGCATACTCAGGAAATGACCTTGGATAAAGCTGGAATCCTAAAGGCTTCTAGGAGTAGTTTCCATTATAAAGCAAGAGAGAAAAGAAAGAGACATGCTAGTCCAGCAAAGAAAAATAAGGCTTCCAGGGGGCTTGGGGTTAAAGTAAGGAAAGGAAAGTAATGGGAAGGTATAGAACAGCATCTCTTTGGGATTTTCAGGTAAAATGTTGTACAGAACATTCAAGCATCTAGGAGCATCTGAATTTCTTCTACTCAAAATATCTTTACAGATAAGGCAAATGGAGCAAAATGTGAGTAATAAGTGAAACTAGGTAAAGGGTTCTTTGGTGTCCCTTTTGTCCTTTGACTATTGTTAACTCTTGAATGATAAACAAGGAGTCACCGCTAGGTTTTGCTCTGTAGTGTTACCTCACCTCTGATAAATGTTTGGTTTCTTCCTCTGGTGTCGCAATTCAAAGAACAAGCAAAGACTGATGAGACAGAGGAGTTTCCCACTTAAGAAAAGCTGTTCTAATAGCCACTCCCTGCTGTCAATTTTTTCTCAGCCTACTTAATTGATATAATGTTCTCATCATCCCCACATTCCTAAGATGCCCTCCATCCCCAAGTGTGACATAGGTAGATGGTTTAACATGCACTAAACTTTGACAGAAAGTCTCACTCTGTCACCCAGGCTGGAGTTCAGTGGCACGATCGCGGCTCACTGCAACCTCTCTCCTGGGCTCAAGTGATCCTCCTGCCTCAGCCTCTCGAGTAACTGGGACTAGAGGTGTGTGCCACCATTCGCAGCTAATATTTTTGGTAGAGACAGAGTTTCACCATATTGCCCAGGCTGGTCTTAAACTTGTGACCTCAAGCAATCTGCCCGCCTCAGCCTCCCAAACTATTGGAATTACAGGCATGAGCCACTGTGCCTGGCTACAATAAACTCTTCCTAAAATGTCAGGCACTGCTGGACTGAACATGACAATGTAACATAGTTTAGTCAGTTTACTAGCAAGAAATCATCAAATGTACTAAACATAAGCCATCTTACTCAAGTACCATTTCATTTCCCTAGATCCTGTACTTATGCTGAATCTGCAACAATTCTCCAACTAAGGTGATTATATGAGCTCTGATTCTTCTTTGCCAAGTCCTCTTCTGTCCTTATTTTTAGTTTTCACTGTATTATACCTATTACCTCCTTAACTTTGAGCCTGTCAACATTTTAGTATAATCACTAAATTATACTAAGTCTAGTATAATCACAAATTATAGTAAATCTAGCATAATCAGTGGATAATCCAGTATCTAATGTTGAATTTTGTTCATATTTTTAAAACACTTTATTTTCTTACCATATAACACCCATGGGGAGTCAGTGTGTATTTGTATTTCAAAATGTGTTATTGGTCTTCAGTATATGTACAATTGTTAATATCTAAGAAAAGCCCTGTTTAATTCTGTATTCCTTTACTAGAAGAGTCTGATTCATTTATTATGATAAGGCGTCTATATGCCTTTAACGAAACCTATTTCATAAATAGTTTAGACTTTGATGTTTGCTAACAATGTAGTAAAGCAATTTGTGTATACTGACATGACTTGCCAGCATGCTATCTTGCAAAGGATCCTATGGGTAAGTAGGAACAACAGAAGTGGCAGGAAAAGGCCATGAGTCTCAGTCACACTATCTTTGTAGTAGGAACTCTGGATCCCTTTGGATTTGTTCTGCTTTGGCAGAACACAACTGGAAGACTTCTGTTGGGGACTTCCCAGGGATTCCCATTTCAATACGTATGCCTGCATATGGCCTCTGAATCACAGTTGAGTAATGCAGCAGAGGCACTACCACTTGCGCTCGACCACATCAGACTCCGACTTCTCTTTGATTGCAAACTTCCAGGCGACCAGAAGTCTCCAACAAAGCATAACTTCTACCTCAGAACCAACAGCTTTCATTACACCGCAGGGTGAACAAGCCCTTTCAGCCACCTCCTTGTTGCCTGACTTAGATTTTAACCTTCCTTTCAATCTTATGTGTTTCTCACTCTAAAGTAGAAGAGAGTAGATGGAGAATCCTGGATCTTTATGGCTTTTGAAAGAGGGTCTGCAGAGGGACCCTGGGGGACTAGCCCTGACAGCTTTATTTCAGACTATGTCACCAGAAACGCAAGTGGGAAGGGAAGTTATTGTGAGCATTTCAAAACAACATTCAGTATCACCTTCTGTTTTGACCTGTTCACCCTTTTCTTTCACGAAATTATCTTTTGATTCTCAAACTCCCTTGCCCTAGTCTAAGAACAAAGAGCCCCCACCCACCTTTAGCACACAAATTGCTTTAGTAATTTTTAAGTTATAAAGCGGGGGAGGGGAGGGGATGGTGGAGGGAGGGGAATTTCATTAAAAACTTGTTTTTTATGGATAATTCAAATATAGTTGAACTTTAGAACTTTAAGATGAAGAATAAGATTGTTATGTTTTTGAAAAAAAAAAAAACTCTGAGCAATCAACAACCAGCCTTCATATAGGCACAATAAAATTGAGTTTTAAAGTGTATAATCATACCTCTGCATAACATGGCAGGGATATTATTGTTTGTTTTGATATGGTGCTTTATTTTAAAATGTACATAGCTATGCAAATAAAGTTAGGTAACTCAATCAAGGCATAACACTTTCCTTCTTTTACAATTTACTATGTAACTTTTTAAAATCTGAAACACAAGGAAATTAAATTAAAAAAACTCAGAAGAAAATATTCAAGCGCCGATGTTATATATTAAAAAAATCAAAGATGTTTAAGATTTTCATCAGGACAAGGTTAATTAACATTACCAGTAGGTGATACTGTCAATAAAAGAACATACTTCCAAATTTTGTGTCTCTATGTGACTCTCCATTATCTTTCAACACTTCCATCATCTCTATACCCCCGGCCTTTGTATAATTAATTACTCTCCTGGCCTAGAATGTCCTTTAACCCCTCTTGTCTACCTGGCTAACCCACAGTCATGCTTCAAAACTCAGATCTGTTGTCTTCTTATCTGGAAAAACTTCTTTATCCTAACTGACCCAGAAAAGTGGTATCTTCCCATATTTTAATCTGGAATTAATTTACTATAACTTATTTATTTTTGTCTTATCCCTCAATTTGGTTAGGAACTCTTGAAGTTAGAAATTTTATGTTACTCATTTTTCTATTCCTAGCACCTATGAGATCTTGTGCCTAGTACATGGAAAATCCTCAATATATATTTGTTTGATTGAATTTATTTAAGGTTTTTTTACTAATGTGATAGATTTTCTAGGATATTTGTCAATATTTTATTCAAATAAAACTATAAAATGCCCAAAAAATAGCGAAATCCAACTAAAGTCACCTCTTTTCTAAAGGCTTTTAAAGGAAAGAAGCTATGATTAATATTTTAGGCACATTTCCTTATCCTAGTCTTTTAAAAACCTTTCAGAATATAACTAGAATGTATTGGGTAAATCATATAAAATTGTCATTGGTCAAAAGAGTCAAACATTCATAATTTCATAATTTTGTATGATTCAGCATAATAGATGCCTGATCTGTTACCTTGGTTATCGCTGTGATTTTGCCCTGTTAAGGAAGGATGGATCTATGCTTCAATATCAAGGCCCTTTTCCACTTCCATTCATGTTTGCCTGATAGCAGGTTTGCTGTGCTGTGGATAGCTGAAGTGCCTCACTATTGTGCATCCTTTGGGGATGAAGCCTCCTAGGAGTGGGAATGGGCTGAGTCAGGGTTCACGTTAGAGAAGGATGTTACCCTGTTCTGGCCTTGAATGCCTATTCTCAGGGTTGATTTCTTCAATCAGCTAGATTTACCATCAATTATGTTCTTAGTCCTCAGATTTGGCTTTGAAACAAGGAACATGTGGCACCTTATATTTCCCTGGAGGATATCTCCCACATGGTACTTTGCTCACACCAAAGTAGATTTGCCCGTCAGCTTCCCTGACTTCCCTTCTTCAAGACAATATTTCTCATATTGCATGTAGAGAGTCAAGCTATCTAGCTTTGAGTTGTCTGCTCATCACTTTTGTCAACAGGGACTCTTGTTCTTTGGTCTATCCCACCTGTTTTAACTATATTTCTTCCAGAAGAATGGATTTAGGTTTTTCTGCTTCATGAAACTGCTTACAGATACATGAATATGGGCTGAATCATAATACAGTAAGGTGGATTCAAAATCATAGTTGGTTGGCATTATGAACAAAAAATTATCTTAAATACTTAAGTTATAGTACAAACTCTCAACCAGTAGTGGTATGATATGTTCTCTTAGCATCCATTTCTTTATCTATAATATGAGAGTAAGAACAAAAAGGCTGCCCTTCCTATAACCTAGGATTATAGTATCAAATGGGGTCATGTACATGAATGTGCTTTGTGAATGCTTTAGCATCATGAAAATATAAAATATTAGTATTATGTGCATTATTATTGGAATCTGTTCTACCCAACATTTTTACCAACAACTTGAACAAAGACATAAAAGCATGATTATAAGCATTGCAGATGATAGACATATGGGAGGAATAGCTGATAAAAAGAAACAAGATAGAATCAAAGTTCAAAGAAATCATGACAGATTGAAATGATGACTAAAACTACTAAAATAATATATAATATGAACAGATGTAAAATAACACACTTCTGTTAAAGAGAATCATGTCAGGAGAGACCTGTTATGACATTAGTTTATATGAACCACAGTTATATGACTGGGATTTGAGAGTAATTTTAGGTTTCTTTAATAGGAATGCTGTGTCCAGAACAAAGGAGATAATATGCTACATGTGTCAAATCATTGCTAACTTATGTAGCATTTAAATATTGAAATATCAGAAATTTGGTACCACATTAGAAAGATGTAACGTGATCTAGGGAAAACGACCAGAATTTTGAAAGGCCTAAAACCATATCGTATGAGAAGCAGTTGACAGAGCTAGGGTTGTATTGCTTGGGAAAAAAGACTTAAGAGACATATAAAGGTGTCTACAAATGTTTCAAGGACTTCTATATAGCCAAGGCATAAAATGCCTAAAGCAAAGAGTAATTAAGTATCCAAAAGATATATGGCACATCCTAGATTCTCAGTAAGTGACAGTTGAATCTAAATTAATTCTGCATTGCTCTAGTGGAAAGAATATGGGCCTATGGGTGGGAGAAATCAGAACAGTGAAAACAAAAACAGAGTTTCCTGTGGTTGGACATATTCAAAAAAACTGACATTTATTGCTACATGAAATGTTTCTGGGCTATGCTAGAAGTATACATATATATAGTGTTTTATTTGGAGAGGGAGGGCATGCTGAAATAATTATACACCTGCCTGCTATCCATGTCCATCTCAGTTAAGCCAAGTTAACATACAAAATGCAATTACATTTTCAGAAAAAAAATAAAAATAATATCACCTTTTACCACTGGAAATTCTTAGACACAGAGAGATTATGTAGACTAAATATTTGGTAATACTTCAATAGCACCTTCTGACTCAGTGGCTTTCAAACATTATAGAATGTATCAAAATCATGCAAAGGGACTGCTAAAGCATTGATCACTGAATCTCACCCCCAGGGTTTCTGAATGAGTAGTAGATCTAAAGAAGAGGCCCCCAAGTCTGCATATCTAATAAGTTCCCAAGTGGTACTTATGAAGACTCTCTGCTTTATATAAAACTGTCTCATTCATAGGCCTTGCTAAAGATACACCAAGTGGCCCAATTTGTAATTCATGGAACCTTCCCACCACTCTTGGTTGATAATTAGAGATCAGAAACTGACCAATCCATACTGTTCAGTGACCTATAATGTGCCTAACAAATAGGCAGTGGAAATCAAGTTTCATCGCTTAATAATTTGATCCAGTCCATGTTTAAAGGACAGACAGGTAATTAGTATGAGAAACAGAAATATAAATACCAACAAGTATTTTTAAAAAGGTGAAAATAAAAGAAGAGAGAATACAGAAAACAAATGAGAAGCATCTGAGTCAGGATAATGGTTAAGCACTGGATTTAACTTCATTTTCTTTCTTTTTTTAATTTTATTATTATTATACTTTAAGTTTTAGGGTACATGTAACACATTAACTTCATTTTCTTTTCCTTAACATCTTTTGCTAAAATTCCTGAAACTACCTTGAATCTCGTTCCTATATCCATCAGGATGGCTCTACTAAAGTTTGTGTTCTTCCTGTTTTTTAATTATTTGACATTTTTTATGTTCTTGTTCACATACTTGCTTACAATATACCTCACACTTATTTTGTGGGTATAGAATTGAAAATGATGTACTTGGGCATTTTAAAGAATAGTATCTTTCTGCTTCCAGAGTTGCTGTTGAGAAATCCATTGCCGCATTTATTCCCTATCTTTTGCTTGAGACTTAATTTTTTACCCCGTGGAAGTTTTAAGGGCTTTCTCTTTACTCCTAGTGCCCTAAAATTTCATGAAAAATGTGTCTTCGTATGAGTCTTTTAAAAATTATTCTGTAGGTACTCAATGGACTCATTCGTTCTGAAAAATTGTGTTCTTTTGTCATGGACTTTTGTTAGCTTGTTTATTTTTTGCTTTAAAAAATTTTTTTTCATTCTCTATTTTGTGATTCTTATTTTAGAAACACTTTTTAATCAAACGTGGGATTTGTTGAACTGATCTTCTATTTTTGCCCTATTGTCTTCCATTTTCAATATATGTCCTCTTATTCTCTTTCCTGCAAGACATTCTCAATTTTATCTTTTAAGCTTTCTCCTGTTACATATATGTGTGTGTATATGTGTGTGCATGTGTGTATGTGTATGCATGTAATGTGTGTGTACATATATGTGTGTATATATATAAATAATAAAGATATAATAATAATTAGGAGTGAGTGATGAAGACTGATGTATAGAGGATGACTCGGAATCATCAACTGAGAGCTGGGTGTGTTTTTTTTTGTGTATAAGAATATGGTTGTGAATTTAAAAGAAAAAACAAATAAATATTTTGAATTTTACCATTTGGAATTTACTTTCTGTAAAGATAACAAGAGAATTGAATTGAATATTTAGATTTATGCTTAGAATATTTTACATAACAAAAAATCAAGAACCTACTTAGCCTAGCAATTGTATATCTAGGAATACATTTTTTTAAAGTATCTCTTTTTTGGTTGTTTCTAATTATTATACATTTCAGGTCGAATGTAGTGCCCACCTTTTTTATAAGCTCGTTCTATGATAATTTTAGCATTTTTATTCAAGTAGGGTGAGAGACAATAAATATGAAAATACAAAATGCATACATCAGTAATGATAAGTGCTTAGAGGAAAAATAAATCTGGTGAAGAGATGAAGCCTGATTCAGGGTGCCATTCTAAACAGGTTGGTCATGGAAGTTCTCTCTGAAGAAGTGAAAAAAAAAAAAAAAGAGAACTTACGAACACAAAGAAGGAAACAACAGACACTGGGGCCCACTTGAGGCAGGAGGGTGAGAGGAGGGAGAGGAGCAGAAAACATAACTACTGGATACTGGGCTTAATACCAAGATAATTAAATAATATGTATAAAAATCCCCCATGACCCATGTTTACCTATGTAACATGCCTTTACATGTGCCCCAAAAACTAAAATAAAAGTTAAAAAAACTAAAAATTTAAAAAGTGATCCTTTATTTTAAAAAAGTAAGCTTCATAAGGACAGAGACTTTATTCATTTATTTTTGGCACCACTTTATCTCTAGAACCTAGTAGAGTGCCTGGCATACATTAGCCATTCAATAATTTATGTTTTATTAACAAATTAATGGTAAAGGAATGAATTTAGGACAAAACATAGGCCAATTGTAGCTGATTTTTTTTTTTTTTTTTTGAGATAGAGTCTCGCTCTGTCACCCAGGCTGGAGTGCAGTGGCACAATCTCGGCTCACTGCAACCTCTGCCTCCAGGGTTCAAGCAATTATCCTGCCCCAGCCTTCTGAGTAGCTGGGATTACAGGTGCGTGCCACCACACTGGACTAATTTTTGTATTTTTAGTAAAGATGGGATTTCACCTTGTTGGTCAGGCTGGTCTCGAACTCCTGACCTCGTGATCTGCCTGCCTCAGTCTCCCAAAGTGCTGGGATTACAGGTGTGAGTCACCGCGCCCAGCGTAGCTGATTTTTTTTTTCAGGAAAGTGTATTCAGAACAACACAATATGAACTAATAGAAAGAGAAGACTTTCTGAAAAAGCCAAAGCACTTTCAGAAGTCAAACAACAACAAAAACCTATTTTTTATTTTTTCATTCCTCTTTTCCAAAACAAAACAAAAGAAGAGGAAGAAGAAAGGAAAACCAGGAAACTAGGAGTCTGCAGGGGGTTTGGTTTCTCTCTGTTGTAATTCAGTCTTGGGCTTAATTCATCTGCTAAATTCTCTAACGGGTAATACAGAATCCAGAGCAGCAAACAGAGAGTGAGAGAATGAGTAATAAATAAATGAAAGGAGAGTGATAAGACTCAGAGAACAAAACAAAACAAAGCTGTGCTGCAGCTGGCCATGCTGGACTCATGGTTGAACGCTCTAAAAAATACTGTTAATGGTGGAGGGAAGAAAAAGGTATTTTAAACCCAACTATAATCCCCTTCTATTTTCTGTCACTCTGGAAAAGCAGTACTTACAATGGCTTTCTCTGTGCTTCCCACGTGGGATTTAGCCGCTGTTGTAACCTTTGTGTTGTTCATTGTGAAGCTGGAAAAGTACAATTCCACTACATTTAAGCCACTTTGTAAGGGGAAATGCAACTGTCAGCTCAGGTGGCTTTAAGCTGTTGGAGCTTGGGGAACAAAACCAACTCATCTCTCCTCAACATCCCCACATAAGGAGAGAAGCTGACAGATATAAGTTCTGTCTTCCCATAATAAACTCCTCCCATGCAATGCAGTGATTTCATTGAAAGGCACGTTGGAATCAACTGTAAAGCCAAAGAAAAGGTCTGCCCAACCCTTTCCCCCAGGAGATTCTGATTTATTTGGCCTGAGATGTCGCCTTGTCATTAGGATTTTTAAATGCTCCCAGGTGATTCTAACCTACAGCCAAAGTTGAGAACCATTGCAACTGGTTTTTATTTTCCTTTTTGCTTTTCTTTTTTTCCTTCTATTTATTTTTTTAGGTTCGTCTTTTCAGAATAGTTTTCTCTTTCCTGTGACTTTCAAATTTTGGTTCAGGCTTCTACTCTTACCTCATTTAAGAAACTGTGAGAAAAATGAACTTCTTCAAGGTCAAGCCTTCTTGGCTTATGGTAATTAGCCCATTGTATTTCCTTGACCACGATCACTGGTATGGGGACAAGCAAGTGATATAAACAGCCCAGTCAGGGTGGATCTCAGGACACTTGCTGAAAAGTCTGTAACAAGAACATTTTCTTTCTTCCTCAGGACATTATGATATGTGGCTATGAAGCGTACCCTAATTGATTTACTCTGACGTGCTTTTTTAATTTATTTTTATTTTTTTTTCCTGCCTCTCTTAAGTCTGAACCAGTTGTTAAAGATACCTAGATCCTCACTTGATATTTTTAGGGGACTGAAGTGATCTTGCTAACCATTCATCATAATTACTTCCTAGAATAAGATAGATCCTAAAATAAAATATACTTTTTGTAACACGAAATGGAAGTGTTAGCTTCTCTCATCTGTACAGGGTCAATTGATGTGAGAACTGCAGGGAAGAGTACTTATATTTAATCTTGTGGCTTTCTCAGTGGCCCCACAACAAGCAAGTTGCATATCTGTCAGCAAATCAATAGTTGTTGAGTGGATGATTCACAGGAACATTGTGTTAGGAAGTGTGAGGTTGGCTTGTAGAATACAGAGAAAAGAAAGAAAGGTATAACCCATGGTCTGAAGTAGTCTACTATTTAATCAAGCAGTTCTTCATACACTTCCAAAGTATAATTGCAGCCTGCTTCCCTATGGGAAGAAGGCTCAGGGGGTCATGCCTGTGTCTTACCTAATCTTTTATCTATTCTGCCTTTAGACAAGCCAACCCATAGCCTGCGGGCAGCATGTATGTGGCTCAGGATGGCCGCCCAACACAAATTCATAAACTTTCTTAAAGCATTATGTTTTAGCTCATCAGCTATTGTTAGCGTTAGTGTATTTTAGGTGTGGCCCAGGACAATTTTTCTTCATCCAGCGTGGCCCAGGGAAGCCAAAAGATTGGACACTCCTGCTTTAGAATGTTGAGCCAGAGAACACCAAAGCAGATAATACGGTTTCAATGACCTATGATCCTTTCTAGATGTACTCTTTCACTAGATCCAACAACCCGGGGCTTCTGCCAGGATACAGTGGAAATTAAAACCAGAATGGGTTCTGAAATCCTTCTCTCAGTTTTCATCCTTATATCTTACATATTACTTTTGCTAATTACAGAAACTAGCACTTTTCAAACAACCAGACGTGATTCCCCTGCTATCATTATGTAGTAATGTTTCACTGTCTAAGCTTCATCTCAAACTGACCTTTTTCTACTGGGAATCAAACTGTCCCCTTTCAACACATACAAAATTGAAATTTTTATGATGCTACAAACTAATCTGACAAAGAAACTGTAGTCTTGAGGAATTCTGAATTCTGATTAAAAATATAGCTTGCAAATATTTTCCTAGTTCTTTATGGAATGAAATTATTGGGATTTCATAGGCAGATTTCAGTCACATTGACAGAGAGGCAAAAGTCCCAGAGATATATTGAATTTTCTTATAGGCAGCCACCCATGAAGTTAAAATCCAAGGGAAATCAAATTTATTTAGTTCAGTCATTTGCCTTCAGTAATGACTTGCTCTTGCACCAACCATAACATTTCTCTACTATTATAACGACTTTGAACATTTTTGTGTATCAGATTATTTTCACTTCAACACAGTTTCCCTGCTTCACTGCCAGACCAATCCAGTGCTTCGAGATGCTGTCAGTTCACATGAAGGGACAATTTGCAGCCTCCACAGAGTAGGTGAAGTGCGCCATCGTGACCGGTTACACTCAAGTCATGAGCCTTTACCTTCAGATTGAAGCAGCACTATACATTTTCTCCTACAGCGTGCAAGTCAGTCTAGAGATCTTAGTTTTAAGATTGGAGGTTCAGGTGTGTATAGAAGGTGTGTGTAAAAGCCATATAGCTTTAAACATTAACTTTTAGATCTTAAAATCAATTTAGATCCTTACAAATTGATTTTTTTCTCAATATGGTGAGAGTCAGGAGTTTACTTAAAAATATATTAATAGTCAATTATTCCAGCATGATATACTGAAGTTTGTTTTTTCTACACTTCTCTGCAGTAACACCATAATAAATCAAAGATCCATTTATGCTAAGCTTTTAGACGGTAGGTACAGGCTGCTTTGAACGTTCCTGCATCTTGTTCTGTGGTGTGGGTAAGAAGCAGGAATAAAAATTTTCAGAGAACTCACTTCTGATCCATGGGTAGTGCTGGAGCAGGCTCAAAGATGCATGTGCCTTCCCCTGACTTAGACCATTTGCTGATAGTTTCTTCAGCGCCTCATAAGAAACTGATATTGAGGCTTTCCTAGTATTACAAAGCCTGGAGCAGGCCAGGGAACAAGCCCAGGTTTTCCAAAGACATGTGATTTTTATTTTTTAAACTCTATTGTTATGAAATAGAATGGATACATATAGATGTACAGAAAATATATGCTCAGTTTACTAAATAACTGTAAACAACACTCATGTAAATATTATATAGAACAAGCAATATATTATCAACCTTTTCAGAATCCCTACATGTATTTGCACCTACCATTCCATTTACATGTATTTGCACCTACCACGCCATTTTGTTTGGGGTAAGCAATTTTCTGACACTAAAAATAATTAATACTTCGTTTTTCTTTAATATTGGTTCTTCTTTTATCACCCCTAAGCAAAATACATTAGTGTTGGCAGTTTTGAACACTACATAAGTAGAATCACACTGCATGTATTTCTATAACTTGCTTTTATTCAATATTAATATGATAAATTTTAGCCATATTGTACGTAGAACTAGTTCATTGATTTTTATTGCTGTATAGTATTCTATAGTTTATTGATATTGCAATTTGCTTACCCATTATGCTATTAAAGTATGGTTTTCAATTTCTGGAAATTTTGGAAAAGACTCCTTTGAACATTCTTGCATCTTGTTTTGTGTTGCATGTAAACATAAAAATTATCGGGTATACACTTAGAAATGAAAAGACCACTCCATAGGATATATGGTTTTTTTTAAAATTTCATTTATAGTATTACTAATTAATACCATACCAGCTTCCATTATGCTGTGCTGGTAGTTCATGTGTGTTATATTCTTGCTAACTCTTGATATAGCCAAGTAAGTTTTAGTATCTGACAATGTGGAGCATGTGTATTGGTATCTCATTGTAATTATAATTTGTCTTTCCATAATTACTAATGAATATTCACATAAACTTTAAACTTACTTACTGGTCACTTAGATATTCTGTTTTGAGCCTCTTCCTAATTCTTAGCCAATTTTTGTGTTGAAATATCTGTCTCTTTTCACTTTGATTTTGAAAAGTTTGTTATATATTCTGGATACCGGTTCTTTGTTCATTATGGATAATTTAAATATCTTTTCCTACTCTGTAACTGATGTTGTCTCTTTAATAAAGTATCTTTTGATTATTGGTAATTATTCATTTAGTCTATTCCTCTTTGTAAGTCTTTATGGCTCTGTGTTTTGGATCTTGTTTAAGAAATGCTTTTCTACCGAAAGGTCTAAATATATTTCTCTATATTCTTTTTAAAAGCTTTATAGCTTTTTACCATTAACTGTTAGATCTTAAAGATCAATTTACATCCTCACAAATGGATTTATTTTTAATATGGTGATAGGAGTTCACTTAAAAAAAATTGATAGTCAATTATTCTAGCATGGTTTACTGAAAGGTTTGTGTTTTCTATACTTCTGTACAGTAGCATCATAATAAATCAAACATTCATTTATGCTTAACACTGGTTCTAAGCTCTCTATTCCATCTCATTGATCTATGTTTGCCAATACCATACTGTCTTTATTACTATTGGACTACAATGCATAAAGATAATAGAGCAAGTTCTCCCACACTGTTTTCCTTCAAAAATGTCTTGGCTATTTTCAACCCTTTGCAATTCCATATAAATAAAAAAATCAGCTTATTAGGATCAAGACTATGATTGCATTCAATGTATAAATCATTTATGTGCAATCTATTAATGCAGTGTATCTTTCCATGTCCTCAGGTGTTATTTAATCTTTCTCAATAAAGTTATAAATTTTGTCTGTAAAGGTCTTGCACATATTTTATTAGATTCTTTTGCAGGTTTTAAGTAATTTATATAAATATGTAAATTATAGCTTTTAAAATTTTTATTGACTAAAAGTTTTGATGGTATATAAACATACAATTAATATTTTATATGGATTATTGTATATATTGAACTTGCTAAGATCTCTTATAAATTTAAATATTTATTTGCACATTTCTCTACATTTCATTTATGAATAATGAGAATTTCTTCCTTCAAATTTTTTTCTTTTTTAAAAAATTTTCTACCTTTTCTCCTGTCATTATTGCACTGGCTGAGAACCGGAGGTCAGTGATAACAGTGTCTTATTCTTTAATTGAAGAAAAAGTTTTTGACATTTGATCATAAAATAATATGTTTGTAGAAGGCTTTATGTCAGATACTCTTTATCATATTAATGAGAACTTCTATTCCTAGATAACCATTTTTTTAAGAAGTAAAAATGTTGAATTTAATCAAATGCTTTTTCTGAATACATTGAAAATAATTTTTTCAGTTTAATTTGTTGTTTTGATGACTTAAAATGATTAAGTTTTTAATGCTAAATCAGCTTACATTCCTGTGATAAACTGAGCTTGGCTGTGATGTATTATCATTTTTATATGGTACAATAGTCTTAAGTATTTGCATTTGCTAGGTTTTTTTAAAGAATTTTTGCATTTACAGTTCATGATTTCAGTTGGACTTTAATTTTAATTTACAGTCCAGTCCTCAGTAGTTTTTAAAAATGTATTGAAGTGTAACAATATATATACTAAAAAAATTTAAAAGTATATAATTTTGATCTATGTATGTATATGTGTGTATATTTACACACACATGCACACATATACATATTAGTGAAGCATCATCACAATCAAGATGATGAACATACACATACCCTCAAAAGTTTTCTCATGTCTCTTAGTAATACCTTGCTTTACCTATCCTCAAGTCTCTCTCACAATTTTCTTCCAACCACTGAACTACTTTCTGTCACTATGTATTAGTTTGCGTTGTCTAGAACTTTATATAATTAGAATTATATAGTATGTATTCTTTTATGGTCTAGCTACTTTCAGCTCAGCATTATTCTTTTGAGATTCACCTATTTGTACATATCAATAGTTTCTTATTTTTGTTATTGAGTAGAATTGCATTATATTGATAAAACACAATTTGTTTAATTATTCACCTATTGATGAGTATTTGGGTTGTGTATAGTTTTGACTATTACAAATAAAGCATCTCTGAACATTGGTATATAAGTATTTGTATGATTTTTTTATTTCTCTAGCATAAATAACTAAAAGTAGAAAGGTGGGGTCATATGTAGGTATACATTTAATTTTTTAAGAAATTGTCAAACTATTTTGCAAAATGATTTGTACCATTTTTTCATCCCCACCAGAAATATACAAGAGTTCACTTGTTCCACACACTTGCCAGTGTTTGGTATGTTAGTATTTTTAGCTTTGGCTATTCTAATAGGTATATGAGAGTTTATCATTGGTGTATTAATTTGCCTTTCCCTAATGACTAAAGAGTTTGAGCATCTTTTCATGTGCTTATTTGCAAACTGAATTTCACTTTGTAAAGTGTCTCTTCTAATCTTATGCCCTCTTTTTTCATGAAGTTGTTAAATTTTTGTTATAGAATTTTGAGAATTCTTTATATTTTCTACATATGGTTTCATTATTAGACATGAGATTTGCAATTTTTTTCTCCCAATCTGTAATGTTTTTGTATTCATTCTGTTTACAGTGTATACCAAAGAACAGAAATACGTAAATTTTATAAAATCTAATTTATTTTTATTTCTTTTTTGTATTGTAAATTTTGGTGCTGTGTCTAAGGGATCTTTGCTTAACCCAAAACCAAAATGATTGACTCCTATGTATTCTTTTAGAATGTATATAGTTTTAGGTTTCATATTTAGATCTAATATCTATTTGTGAGTTACTTTTGGTATCATATGTGAGTATGAACTTAATTAAATGATGCAAATTAAGATATTTTGCATACGGATATTTAAATTGCTCAAGAATAATTTGTTGGAAAAATTTATGCCTCTCCTATGAATTGCTTCTTCAGTCTTGCTGAATTCAATTAATTATATATTTGCAGGTCTACTTCTGGACTTGATTTAGTTCCATTGATCTATTTGTCAATCATCATGCCAATACCACAGTATCTTGATTACCATCGCTTTATAGTAAATTTTGATAGCAGGTAGTATATACCTTGATAGGAGGTATATAGCAACTTTATTATCTTCAATGTTGCTTTACATAGTCTAGATTCTTTATATTCAATATGAATTTTCACATTAGCCGGTAAACAGCCTACACAGAACAACTTTTGGAATATGGATTGATAGAATATTAAATATATAGATGAATTTAGAGACAATTGACACATTAAAAATATCAAGCCATCCAATCTATGAACATAGTATTTCCTTTGTTTTAAGACTGCTTAAAATTATCTCTGAATTTTCTATTTTTTATTGTACCAGCATTGTGCATCTTTTTTCAGATTTGTCCCTTAATATTTAATATTTCAAAGCTATTGTAAATTATATTTTTAATGTTTCATTATTTGATTACTGGTTACTAGGACATAAAAATCCAATTGATTTTGAATATTGATCATATATTCTACAACCTTGCTAAACTCACATATTAGATTTATTAGCTTATTTTTTATATTTCATAAGATCTTTTACATAACCAATTGCGTTTTCTGTAAATAAAGACAATTTTACTTCTTCCTTTCCAATAATGTGTCATTAAAACTTTTTCTTGCCTTATTGCACTAACTGGAACCTCCAGTATAATGTTAATTAGTAGTGTTGAAACTAAATATCCTTACTTTGTTTCTAATCTTAGAAGAATACATTCACTTTTTTCACCTTTAATAATGATGTTAACTGAAAGATTTTCATAGATGGCATTTAACAGATAAAGTAAGTCTCCTCTATTTCTTTTTTTCTGATAATATTCATCAGTAATGGATGTTAGTTTTTTCAAATGCTTTTCCTGCATCTATTGTGATGCTCACAACATTTTTTGGTGTGTGCATGTATGTTTTTAGTCTGTTAATAAGATGAATTATATGGGTTGATATTTAAAGGTCAAACCAAATTTGTATTGCTGGGATAAATCAAAATTCATCACAGTATAAATTTATTTGTATATATAGTTCAATATGATTCTCTAAAATTTAGTTGAAATTATTTCCATGCATGTTCATGATAAATATTGTTCTATAGTTTTATTCTCGTAATGTCTTCTTCTGGTTTTACTATTAGAGTAATGCTGGTCTCATAAAATGTGTTGGGAAACATTCTCTTCAATTTTCTGGAACACTTTGTGCTTAGACATATTTTATGACCTGGTAAGTGTTAAATATTTATAAATGATCTGTGCATGATTGAAATTAATGTGCATTCTGTAGTCGATGAGTCAACTTAGTTAATTATGTTTCTCAAATATTTTATATCCTGCCATTTTTGAATGCTTGACTATCAGTTTCTGAGAGAGGAGTGCTGAACTTTCTAACTCTGGAGATTTATCAGTTTCTCATTGTATTTCTGTTAATTTTTATTTTGAATAATTTGTGACTTTGCTAATATATCCATACAACTTAAAAATGGTTACATTGTTCTACTCATTAACTCTTTTATCATTGTGAAATGCTTCCTTTTAATTTTGCTAATATTTGACTTAAAGTCTCTATTGTTTCTGATTAATGCAGTTATATCAGCTTCCTCTTCATTAGGATTTAATGCCATGTGTTCTTCTATCCATTAACTTTCAAAATTTTCTATACCCATGCATTTTAGATATATTTCTTATAGACAACACAGACTCATTTCCTTTGAATTATCTTTTTTTTTTTCTAAATTGGAGCACTTGGTTCATTATTTTTGAAAGGAATAACTGATACGTTTTGACTTATTTCTATTGTCTTGTATTATACTGCCTATATATGGTCTCCATTTTTGTCTATTTTCCTATTTATTTTGGATGATTAAATATCTTTAATGATATTTTCTCCCATCATTAGTATAAAATTTAGGCCCTCTGTTTCTGTTCTTTTTGTGGTAACATTAACAATTATAGCACGCATAACTGACTTAATAACGTTTGTAATTAAACAATTATTTACCCTCTTTTTTTGAAAATACTAGTATCTTAAAACTTCAACATTAATGCACCCATTTCAATTTATTTATCTTGGAGATCTCACATTTTTGGGGTTATCTAACACCTTAAATTCATACTTTTTGTTTATATGATAGCCCAACAGATGTTATATTTTTATTTTACAGACTCAACATTCACGTATATTGGCTCACTAATTTACCACTTTATTCAATCCTCATTTTTGCTTAAAACTCAAACATTTAGTCAGAGACCACTTTCTTTTGACCTGAAATTTTTTTTCTAGATTTTAAATAATGGACAGTCTTCTGATTATTATTTCTTATAGTATTTATTTTGTAAAAACATCTTTATATTACTTTCTTTGAGGTGGAGTTTTGCTCTTGCTGCCCAGGTTGGAGTGCAATGGCGCGATCTCAGCTCACTGCAACTTCCATCTTCCAGGTTCAAGTGATTCTCCTGCCTCAGCCTCCTGAGTAGCTAGAACTATATTACATTTTTAAATTGAAAGATATTTTACTGAGTATACAATTCTAGTGTTGCAGTTATACACGACACTCTATTATTTTTCTTCATAGCAATTAAAATTTGTACCTATATATTTATTTGTTCAATATCTGTATTCTCAAACGGGTGGCTAGGCCATAATTTCTAGGTGGGTGAGCACTATGTTCATTTTGCTCCTCATTGGATATACAAACTTAGTAAATGCCTGGAATATGGAAGTTAAACAACATATATTTGAATGAATAAATAACAGAATGAATAAATTAATATATTACTTCTAGGATACCTTTGCTGACCATCCACATCTTGGTTAGGTGTGACCAGCGGCTATATAAGCAAGAACAACATATTGCTCAACTCCAAGGATGACTTTCATATTACTGTGCAAATATTGTCAACTGGATTGTTCAGCAAAAACACCATGCAACCCAGGTACTGTAACGGCAAAAACAGTCATGTTTATTTTGAAAAGCATATTCTCAAGGACACCATAGTGAGTTATTATAACTAATCCAATTTGTGGTGAAACATTTTTTCAGTAGGAAGTATAGAAGAAGTCTTCCAGCTTTTGGTGGTTAGCTACCATATGGATATAAGAATAGATGGAAGACAGAAAATTCAAAGGCCTTAAGCAATGCTGCCAAAATCAAAGCATAAAGTTGGGCCAGACCATGGTGACTTGGTAATCCAGACAGGTAAGGGTTAGTGATACTGAATGGAATATAATCGGAACATTCATAAGGTTGTAGGCTTCAGAAGACTGTTTTTCATAAATGAGTACTCCAGATCGACTTAGGAAGATCAGCAAAACTAAGAGCAATCATAAGATGTGGTATATTTGAGACCAAAGCAGTCCTGGTAGTCCTTATAATACAGCCCAGGAGGCCAGACTTCCCAGTCTGGATCCATGCCTGATGTGATATTCAGCTGTGCAGCAGGACTATGTAACATTACTCTTATAACCTTGAAGCTCTTGGATCTTTGTTTAGTTCTGATATTTTACAATCCTCTTTTAAGGTAAAAAAATACTTGAAAACTTTATTGAATGAAGTCTTTGATAAGTAAAAAATGTTTTTAATTTAGTTCAAAAATTCTGTGGAGGAAAAAAATAGTAAGTTTTTCTGGTAGAGGATTTAATCACATAGTGAAATAACTATGCAACCTCTATGCAGTATGGTGCTCTTGCTTATTTAGATGCTGGTAACACCTACCAGCTTGTGTAGGCAGTAAATTTACCTGTGAAGAATTAAATATGAACACAAGAGCTCTCATTTATAGAGAGAAGTAATATCTTTTTGAAAATTTACCCTATACTGCTCTGGGTGCTCATGTTTGGCTAATCATGAGTCATCTCCTTCTTTTGATGAAGTAATTCAAATCTGAATGTTTTCATCATGAAAATAAGAGCCCACTATGAATTTTCTTTATGAGAAAGTCTGTAGTTTGGACATGAGATGATCACTTCTCTTGGGGAAACAACACTAAAAAAAAAATCAAAACTTGTTTTTAGCATAGAAAATGTAGCTCTAAATTTATTTAAATTGGTTCAGTTTTCTATTTCAATTCCTCTGTCCAATGGAAGTATAGAAATAATTTTTAGCATCATGGATAATCTGGAATGATGCAACTGCCCATCAAGATTGCAACACAATAAATGTATGGTCAGCCTATCGAATATACTGTGCCTTTTTGAATGTATATTTAATTTCAGTGGAAGATAAAGATGAGTATTGAAGTCATGGACTTACAAAAAGCTATATTCTAATATGGATTGTATGGCATGACTTAGATTATCTTAGTTTGAATCCAATTATATGGAAAGCTGGGATTTCAGACAAGAGCTAAGGAGAAACAGAAGGTACCATTTGTTTCTTGAGCCAAAAAACACCAGGCTGGAATTGCTGTTAATTTTCTTCTCCTTTTCTGATGGATGAACTTTTTTCCTCTTAAAATATTGGCAAAACAATAAATAAAATTCTGTTAGCAATAACTATTTTGGGGGGAAGGACAGAGGAGCAGAGGAAGAAAGCTCTGATTTTCATTATAAACATCTGAACAATGTATGAAGAATCTAATAATGTGTATGGATTACTTTTTTTAATGTGACAGATATTTTCTAAGTGGAGAGATTGAGAACTGTATATGTTTCCTTTATATAGTTTTGTGTACTAAAGCACGAATGCTCATTTTGAACAATATTCATTATGAAAATTAGAAATTACTGATAAACTAAAAATAAATAAAGCATTTTCAAAACCCTATAATTCACTCAAAGATAGAAATTGTTAGCTTTTAGGTGTTTATTCTTTTTTTTTTTGAGACATGTTTATTCTTCTAGATTGTTATCTCAAATACATTATGCTAGTTTAAAACCTAATATATTACTTTCCACATCACTTAATACATTTCTACATCACCATTTTTAGGGACTACATAATTTACTTAACAAACTCATTGCTTGACTCATAGGTTATTTTTGACTCATCCTTCTTCCTTCATGTTTGTGCATTTGCTTTATTACTTCTTAGAATAAATTCCTAGAAGAGCATTGCTGGCCCAAAGAGATGACATATGTTTAAGGCATTTGATACCATTGCCAAATTGCCTTTCAGGAAAGCTGGACCAATTTAGACTACCATGAGCAACGTCTCAGAATGTCTGTTTCTTCCAACCCCTGCTGCCATTCACTTTTGTCAGTCATTTTAATATTTGTCAACATAATAGCCTAAAAATTAAAACTCATTTTATTCGCATTTTAGTTAAGTATATTTTCTTCTTTTGTGAATTACCTGTTATTGCACTGATTATATTTTCCATTGAGATTTTTAACAATTTCTTCATAATTTGTTACAATTCTTTGTATGGTACGTATATTAACATGTGTTCATATGTTTTGTCCTATCTTTTGTAATTATATTTCATATTTTAATGTTCATCTCAATTTTGTCTTTTCCTAAGACAAGGACGTTTCATGTTTTGTTTTTAAATCTATTGAGAAACTGAATATACACATTGACAGTGGCCAGCCCATATATAAAAATGGACTTTTGACCCACAACCTATAGCCATCTGCCCAGGAAACTAACCCCTTATCTACAATAAATGACCCAGGAAGCCAGCCTGCTACGTCATACTTGTAAGAACAGAAAATGCTATCCCTAAGGACAACTCAGCAAGCTAACCAATAACTTCCGCAGCAATCAGCCCCAAATGACCAGGCTTTGATTAATAACTGATGGCTTCCTTAATTTTTGGCCCCATTCCTGTAACAAAGTAGGATGCCCCACTTCTAGTGATTCCACATACAGCTTCCCCATGACAAAAGCCTCCATTCAGGGTAAACCTGAAGTCTTCCCCTTTTTCCACTATAAAGGTTTGCCCTTCTCTGCTTGCCTGAGTCTCTGCCCAAACACATGTGATGGTAGTTGACTCTTTTGCTATAGCAAGCTCAGAATAAATAGCCTTTACTTTTCTCATTTGGTTTTTCTTTATTTCCATACTAATTATATATTCTCATATTGCTTCTTCAGTGGTGTCACACAGAGAGAGCCTTCTTCATCCCAAGGTTGTGTAATTTTTATCTGTACTTATTATACCTTATTGAAGAGGCCATATGGTATGTTGGTTCAAAGTGCTGGTTGGGAAATTCATCTATCTGGATTTTGATATTTGCGCTGCCACTAACAAAAAATTTCCAACAAGTTACCTAAACTCTCTGGCCTCAATTTGTACGTCTGTATAAGGGGTAAAATATTAGCTCCATGGTGTTTCTGCAAGGACTACATGAAGATGCTTGGAATAGTGTCTAACACTACATATGTTACTGTCACCCAATATATGTTACTGTCACTTCCTATATTTTTTCAAGCACTTCTATGATTACATTTAATAATAATGTAATGATAGCAGGGTTATGTTACATAGTTCTTACAGGAGCTGAGAGGCATACTCTAAGAACTGGTTGAGGAATAGGTTCTCAATTTCAGCCACTTGAAGCCTCTGCACTTCACTTCAGGGATGCATTCACAGAATCAAGAAAATGAGGAAGCTCACGCATGCTGTAGGGCCAGCAGACTGAGAAACGGGGAAACACTGCCACTTACAGACACATGGATGCCCAAGACTCAGTCCAAGCTCAGGGGTCTACAGTCTTGTGTCCTATTTTATCCTCCAGGAGTGCCAAGAGTCTTAATGTGCTCTTCGCCCTGACCTTCATAGCAGTCACTGTTTCTGAATGAAATGGAATAAATTAAATATTTTCTTGTCTTTCCTCAGTCTTTGACCATAATCCCCATTATAATAGGTAAATATGGCTCAGCTGGTTTATTTAAAGATAATGGTAGGGATCTGACTTCCACACAGACCCAGAGTAGTTCTCAATTTTCAGATATTACCTAAGATTATTTAGGAGACCTGGCGCTGTGAGCAAAAATAAGCATTTTTAACAAGCACTGGAGATAACTTTGATAATGATAGCATGGAGATCCTACTTTGAAAAAACACTGCTATAGATATGCTCAGGTACTAAACTGGCTTATGTTTAACTTGGTATCTAAAGTATAAGCTGAAAGGAAAAGGAAAGGGGAATGGAAAGGGAGAGAGAAAGGAAAGGAGCCAATTGACATAGGAAGAAGAGGAAGGATTAGATTGCTTTCCTCTTTCATCTTTTTCAAACAGGCCCTAGAGAAAGAGACCTATTATTTTTATCACCTTAAACATTACATTAAACATATTTGTTTTGCTCAGTCCCTGTTTCTTATGGCTTCTCTGTTCTGTGGTTCAGAACATTCTGTCACCAGCATAAATCTTGGCATGTCTGAGGAAACATCGGTCACCTTGACCCATCTTCTCCAATTACCAGGACCTTCTTTTTCAGTTAGAAACGTTTTTAACCTTTTATTGGGGTCTTCAGTACAACAACTTTCCTTTTAGTTATTTACAAATGGAATCTTAAAAAGATTTTTAAAAAAAGAATGGGGGAAAATATTTAACTTGCCCCACTATACACACAGACACCCTCTCACTCACACACACACACACACACACACACACACACACACAGACACACACACACACACACACAAGTTATATCTAGTACTTAAATATATGATGTATACTGTCTCTAATTATTTCTTATGTTTTCATCTTGTCTCTTCAGATAGATGGCAAGACTGGCATATTTCATTCCTCTTATGGTTAGTACTAATATGGAGGAAAATAGGCACATAATACATACTCTTGTTTTGCTTTTTTATTACTTCCATATGTTTTGGCCATTATTTTCTTGTTTATTGCTTAATTTTACATTGTACATTTTGTCTCTATTTTTTGTGCTCTTTGAAATAGAAGTCAACTTTTTCTTTATTTTCTCACCACATTATCAGAAGAATATCTTTCTGCAACTAGATGGAATACCTAAGCTTAAATATTATTATATCCCCTAATAAAGACTCCTGGATCCTGTTCTTAATAGTTGCACAGTCTTTCTGTGATTCACTTTGTTTTTGTTTTTTTGTTTTTTTCTTTTGAGATAGAGTCTCGCTTTGTCGCCCACGCTGGAGTGCAGTGGCACAATCTCGGTTCACTGTAAACTTGCCTCCTGGGTTCAAGCGATTCTCTTGCCTTAGCCTCCTGAGTAGCTAGGATTACAGGCGCATGCCACCATGCCCAGTCAATTTTTGTATTTTTAGTAGAGATGGGATTTCACCATGTTGGCCAGGCTGGTCTCAAACTCCTGACCTCGGTCTCCCAAAGTGCTGGGATTACAGGCGTGAGCCACCATGCCCAGCCAGTTTTTCAATATATAAAATTAGAAAAGAATGTCTACTTTATAGGTAGATAAATTTTAAATTCAACAAACTTGTGGGCTTGCTTGAGAGATTAATTGGATAAAGGTATATAAAGCATTTACGATGGTACAAAGAACATAAATAATAAATATTGATTATTGTCACAGTTATTATTCTATTTGTGACACTACATTAGGATGTCTCTAGAGTTAGCATAGCTGGGTTTTTTTTTTCTTTAGAAAATATGCTTGATTGATGAGTACCTTCCTTTGACAAAAAAAAAAAGAAAATACGCTTGAAAATATTATTTAATTAAAAGTTCTCAAAATGGTTTAAAATACTAGCCAAATACTGTATATGAGCAAACTGAGTATTTCACAAATTACTATAACTTTTCAAGGCAATAATGCTAAGTTGCACATATTTTTTCAAAAATAAAATAGCATCAGCAAACATTAGTTAAACACCTATGAGGCCAGTATTTTTACACATTAATCTCATTTATTCCTCAAAATTACCCTATGAGGTTAATATTATCATCATTAAAGAGATGAATAAATGGGCTTAAAATGCTAAGTAACTTGCTCAAACTCACAGTTCACAAATACTAATGCTAAGAATCAAACCAAACTATTTCTGGACCTATATTCATCTTCCCTTTAAAGGGAATATCTAACCCAAAATTCAAGCCCCTTTGTATGATACCACACTGCAGTATTATGTTTCAGTTCCATTTCTACTCCATGGACATGAAAGCATCAGTAACAGGCTTTGAAGGTAACAGGATTTGTTCCTGACGTAAAGCATTTTCATTATGCTTAATTCCCTTTCAGTCAGTTGGCATAATAAATAAACTGTGTATAGATGGATGGAAGGAAGGAAGGAAAGAATAAAGGGGGGAGGGGTGAGCAGGAAGAGAAGGGAGGAAATGAAGAAGGGAAAAGAAAGAGATGAAAAAAAGGAAAGGAGAGGAGAGGAGAAGAAAGGAGAAGAGGAGAGGAGAGGAGAGGACAGGACAGGAAAGGAAAGGAAAGGAAAGGAAAGGAAAGGAAAAAGGGAGGGAAGGAAAGGAGGAAAGGGAAAGAAGAAGGAAAGAAAGAAAATGAAAGAAAGAAAAGAAAGAAAGAAAGAAAGAAAGAAAAAGAAAAAGAAAGAAAGAAAAAGAAAGAAAGAAAGAAAAAGAATTTCTATCTCAGATTCTTATATTACTCCCAGCCCAAGGGAAAGTATAAATGGTTCTTCCTTAAAAAAGAAATTAATTATGATATGGTACCCTTCAAACAGAGAGAACACTAGAATATATTTCTGCCTCTCCTAATTCCTTTAGTAATAGTTAATTAAGTATGTTGCTTTATCTATATATAGAAACTATCTATAATAAATTAAATAGTGAATTATTTCCAATAAGCTTCACATGTGCACTAACTAGAAACTTCAAATTTCTACAATTTATTACGATAAAGAGAATAATGAGGTACAGATGTTCATCAACTGAAGGTCACATCACAATAAACCCACTGTAAGTTAAAAATATCCTAGGTTGAAAATACATTTAATATAACTAACCTACTGAAAATCTAGGCTAACCTAGATTAGCTTAGCCTACCTTAAATGTGCTCAGAAGACTCACATTAGCCTTAGTTGGCCACAATCATCTAAAACACAACCTATTTTTAATGAAGTGTTGAATACATATGTAATTTATTGAATATTGAAGTATGGCTTCTACTGAATGCATATTGTTTTTGTGCCATCACAAAATGGGAACTTAAACCTTCATAAGTAGAAGAGTGTCTGCATAGTTGTATTTTCTCTTCCTCCTTTTTTGTGCTATCATTCTGAAAGATATCACATCTATCTGTTACCAAAACAACAATACATTGTTATAAGTATTACTTTATATACTTTTATTTCTTTTAGAGAAGCTAAGAAAGAAAAGAGTGCAAGTAAAGGCATACATTGTTTTATTGTGCTTTGCTTTACTGCACTTTGCAGATATTGAATTTTTATTAATTGAAGGTTTCTTGCAATCCTATGTCAAGCAAGTCTATCAGTGCCATTTTTCCAGCAGCATGTGTTCATTTTGTGTGTCTGTGTCATATTCAGATAATTATCTCAATATTTTAAACTCTTTCATTATTATTCTATATGTTATGGAGATTGTGATTAGTGATTTTGGATATTACTATTTTAATTGATTTGTGTTCCACAAACCTCACCCATGTAAGACAATGAACTCAATAGGTAAATACATGTGTTCTGACTGCTCCACCAGCCAGCCCTTCCTTTATCTCTCTTTTTCTCTTCTTGAGCCTCTCTATTCCCTGAAACACAACACTGTAGAAATTAGGCCAATTAAAAAACATACAATAGCCTGTAAGTGTTCAAGTAAGAAGAGTTCCACATCTGTCACTGAAATCAAAAGCTAGCAGTGATTAAGATTAGTAAAGAAGACATGTTAAAAGCCAAAGCAGGCGAAAAGCTAGGCTTCTTGTGCCAGAGTTAGGAAGTTGTGAATAAAAAGAAAAAATTCAAGAAATAAAAGTGCTACTCACTTTTAATAAATTTCAAGTGAACACACAAATTGTAAGAAAGCAAAACAGGCTGATTGCTGATATACAGACAGTTTTACTGGTCTAGATAGAAAATTAAAAAATCCACAACATTCCCTCAAACCAAAGCCTAATCCAGGGCAAGGCCTTAAATCTCTTCAATTCTGTGAAGATTGAGAGAGGTGAGGAAGCTGCAGAAGGAAGGTTTGAAGGTAGCAGATGTTGGTTCATAAGGCTTAAGGAAAGAAGCCATCCCCGTATCACAAAAGTGCAAGGTGAAGGAACAAGTGCTGATGTAGATGCTGCCAATAAGTTCTCTAGGAGATCTAGCTAAGATTATTGATGAAGGTAAATAAATGCACTAAACAATAGATTTCCAATGGAGATGAAATAGTCTTATATTAGAAGAAAATGCCATCTAGGACTTTCATAGTTAGAGGGAAGTCAAAGCCTGGCTTCAAAGCTTCCAAGAACAGACTGACTCTCTTGTTAGGAATAACGCAGCTGGTAACTTTAAGTTGAAGCCAGTGCTCATTTACCACCCTGATACCCTATCAACCTTGAGAATTATGCTAAATCTACCCTACCTGTGCTCTATAAATCAGACAAAAAAAGCCAGGATGATACACATCTGTATACAGCATGGTTTACGGAATACTGTAAGCCCATTTTTGAGATCACTGCTTAGGAAAAAAAAAAAAATACTCCTTTCAAAACATTACTGCTTGTTGACCATGCACCTGGTCACCCAAGAGGTATGACAGAGATGTACAAGGTGTTTAATGTTTTCATGCCATCCTGCAGCCCATGGATCAAAGAGTAATTTTAACTGTAATATCTAATTATTTAAGAAATACATTTTGTAAGGCTATAGCTGCCATACATAGTGATTCCTCTGATGGATCTAGAAAAAGTAAATTGAAAACTCTTTGGAAAGTATTTACCATTCTAGATGCCATTAAGAACATTTATGATTCATGTGAGGAGGTCAAAACATCAACATTAACAGGACTTTAGAGGAAGTTGATTCCAACCTTCATTGATGATGTAGAGGGGTTCAAGACTTTAGTGGAGAAGTAACTTCAGATATGATGGAAATAGCAAGAGAACTAGAATTAGAGGTGGAGCCTGAAGATATGACTGAATTGCTGCAATCAACGAATGAGCAGTGGTTTCTTATGAATGAGCCAAGAAAGTGGCTTCTTGAGATAAAATTTTCTGGTAAAGATGCTGCGAACTTTGTTGAAAAGGCAACAAAGGACTTAAAATATTCCATAAACTTAGTTGATAAAGCGGGAGCTGGGTTTGAGAGTATTAACTGCAATTGTGAAAGAAGTTCTACTGTGGGTAAAATGCTATCAAACATCATCACATGCTACAGATAAATCTTTCATGAAAGGAATAGTCCTACAATGTGGTAAACTTCAAAATTATCTTATTTTAATAAATTTCACAGAAACTTCAAACATTAGCAACCACCATCCTGAACAGTTAGCAGTCATCAACAATGAGGCAAAACCCTCCATCTACAAAAAGATTATGATTTGCTGAAGTTTCATGATTATTAGCCTTTTTTAACAATAGAGTATTTTAAATTAAGATATGTACAGTATTGATTTAGCTGTAATGCTATCACACACTTAATAGACTACAGCATAGTGTAAACACAACTTTTATTTTCACTGGAAAAAAAAGGTGTTACTTGCTTTATTGTGATATTTACTTTATTGTGGTAGTCTAAAACCAAACCTACAATATGTCTGAGGTGTGCCTATATAGACTTGTAGTGTTTATTATGTTATTCTTTTTATTTATCATTTTGGGGTTTATTTGTTCCTATAAATTCAAATTACCATCTGGTGTCATCTCTTTACTTCAGTATAGCTTTGCTAACACCCACCTGTGTCCTGTTATGGTAAAATGTATATTATTTCTATATGATACAGATTCAAAAATACAATTTTTATATATATTTATTTTTATACAAATTTTAATTAATAAAAACATGAATTTATACAATTATTATATTATTACTTTTATTCTCTGTGGTTTTTTGTATGTATTCAGATTATCATCTGGGATTATTTTCTCTCAGCCTGAAGAAATTTCTTTAGTATTTCTTGTAAGGAGGGTCTACTAGAAACAAATTCTTTCAGTTTTTATCTGGGAATGTCTTCATCTTTATTTTTGAAATAGAGTTTTGCTGGATATAAGGTATTTGGTTGAAAGAGTTTTTGCTTGCATTTTTGTTTTGTTCAAGTTTAATTTTATTGCTTTCAAAATTTTCTCTTCATGTGGATATTTTTGCTTTTATCCAATTTGTAGTTTGTTAAGCTTCTGGGATGGGTAAATTAATATTTATCAAAATTAAAAAATTTGTACACAATATCTCATTAAAATAATTCTTCTTCTCTTTCCTCTGTTCTACTTCTAATACTCTGTTGCACCTACACTGATGTCCTTAATGGTGTCCTACATTTTCCTGAGGCTCTGTTCACCATTATCCATTCCTTTTTTCTCTCACTTCTTTGAGCATATAATTTACATTGATCTATGCTCAACTTCTGGTACTCTTTCTCTTGCCAGTTTAAACTACTTTTTGATCCTCTCTAATAAATTCTTCATTTTCATTATCGTACTTTTTAATCCAGAATTTTCATTTTTAATTCATTTTTTAAAATGTTTATTTCTATATTGATATTCTATTTAATGAGGCATTGTCATCAGACATTTCTTTATTTCTTTAAACACAGATACTTGTTTCCTTTAGTTCTTTAAACAAATTTATAGTGGCTGCTTTAAGATTTTTATCTGTTAAATCCAACATCTGGGCCCTTTCACAGTCAGTTTTCATTGCCAACTTTTGTCTTCCCACTTATAGTCACATTTCCCCATTTCTTTACATGTATCTTAATTTTTGATCAAAAACTGGAAATTTTTTAGGTTATGGTGGCTCTGAACAAACAAATCATATGATTTGTTTTTGCTGTTTGATTTTCATATGTTTAGCGACTTGGCTGAAACAGCTTAGTAACGTCTATTTCATCCTGCACTGTGAAGACTTTGATGTCACTCTTCAAAGGGAGCAGTCTAGCTCCCTTTGAAGCAACCTGGGATGACAATTGTTTTGTCAGGGCTCTCACTGACTTTCTCTTTCACTGGTCTCTAAATTAAGCTGTCATCACACCTTTCACACCATTTGCTGGCATCACACCCAGCTGTTAGTCTCCACTCTCTCCAGATAATTGCTCTATTGTTTTTAACAATGCTGTATAGCATAAAATGTTCAACAGTGTGATGCAATTAAAAGTGGGCCCCTTTGCAATAATCATTTCTTTTATTTTTCTTTATTTCTTCTTCTTTTTGATCCTGCATAGTATTCCATGGTGTATATGTACCACATTTTATTTATCCAGTCTATCATTGATGGGCATTTGGGTTGGTTCCATATATTTGCTATTGTAAATAGTACTGCAATAAACATATGTATGCATGTGTCTTATAGTAGAATGATTTATATTCCTTTGGGCATATACCCAGTAATGGGATTGCTCGGTCAAATGGTATTTCTGGTTCTAGGTTTTTGAGGAATCACCATACTGTCTTCCACAATGGTTGAACTAATTTACATTCCCACCAACAGTGTAAAAGTATTTTTATTTCTCCAGAGCCTCACCAGCATCTGTGGTTTCCTGACTTTTAATAATTGCCATTCCGACTGGCATGAGGTGGTATCTCATTGTGATTTTGATTTGCATTTCTCTGATGATCAGTGATGTTGAGCTTTTTTTCTTCTGTTTGTTGGCTGTGTAAATGTGTTCTTTTGAGAAGTGTGTGTTCACATCCGTTGCCCACATTTTGATGGGGTTGTTCGTTTTTTTCTTGTAAATATGTTTAAGTTCCTCATAAATTCTGGATAGTAGACCTTTGTCAGATGGGTAGATTGCAAAAATTTTCTCCCATTCTGTAGGTTGCCTGTTCACTCTGATGATAGTTTCTTTTGCTGTGCAGAGATTCTTTAGTATAATTAGATCCCATTTGTCAATTTTGGCTTTTGTTGCAATTACTTTTGGTATATTAGTTATGAAGTCTTTGCCCATGCCTGTGTCCTGAATGGTATTGCCTAGGTTTTCTTCTAGGTTTTTATGGTTTGGAGTTTTACATTTAAGTCTTTAATCCGTCTTGAGTTGATTTTTGTGTAAGTAGTAAGGAAGGGGTCCAGTTTCAGTTTTCTGCATATAGCTAGCCAGTTTTCCCAACACCATTTACTGAATGGGAGATCCTTTCCCCATTGCTTGTTTTTGTCAGGTTTGTCGAAGATCAGATGGTTGTAGGTGTGTGGTATTATTTCTGCAGTCTCTGTTCTGCTCCTTTGGTCTATATTTCTGTTTTGGTACCAGTACCATGCAGTTTTGGTTACTGTTGCTTTGTAGTATAGTTTGGAGTCACTTTGCATGATGCCTCCAGTTTTATTCTTTTTGCTTAAAATTGCCTTGGCTGTACAAGGTCTTCTTTTATTCCATATGAAATTTAAAATAGTTTTTTTTTTCTAATTCTGTGAAGAATGCCAATGGTAGTTTGATGGGAGTAGCATTGAATCTATAAATTACTTTGGGCAGTATGTCCATTTTCACAATATTGATTCTTCTATCCATGAGAATGGAATGTTTTTCCATTTGTTTGTGTCCCCTCTTATTTCCTTGAGCAGTGGGTTTCTAGTTCTCCTTTAGGAGGTCCTTCACATCCCTTGTTAGCTGTATTCCTAGGTATTTTATTCTCTTTGTAGTAATTGTGAATGGGAGTTTATACATGATTTGGCTCTCTGCTTGCCTATTGTTGGTGTAAAGGAATGCTTGTGATTTTTGCACATTGATTTATATCCTGAGACTTTGCTGAAGTTTCTTATCTGTTCATAAAGTTTTTGGGCTGGGATGATAGGGTTTTCTAAACGTAAAATCACGTCATCTCCAAACAGAGACAACTTAACTTCCTCTCTTCCTATGTGAATACCCTTTATTTTTTTCTCTTGCCTGATTGCCCTAGCCAGAACTTCCAATACTATGTTGAATAGGAGCAGTGAGAGAGGGCGTCCTTGTCTTGTACCAGTTTTCAAAGGGAATGCTTCCAGCTTTTATCCATTCAATATGATATTGGCTGTGGGTTTGTCATAAATAGCTTATTATTTTGAAATATGTTCCATCAATACCTAGTTTATTGAGAGTTTTTAACATGAAGCCATGTTGAATTTTATCAAAGGCATTTTCTGCATCTATGGTGATAATCATGTGGATTTTGTCTTTGGTTCTATTTATATGATGGATTACATTTATTGATTTGCATATGTTGAACCAGCCTTGCATCCCAGGGATGAAGCTAACTTGATTGTGGTGGATATGTTTTTTGGTGTGTTGCCAGATTCAGTTTGCCGGTATTTTATTGAGGATTTTTGCATCGATGTTCATCAGAGATATTGCCCCGAAGTTTTCTTTTTTTGTTATGTCTCTTCCTGATTTTGGTATCAGGATGAAGTTGGCCATAAAATGAGTTAGGGAGGAGTCTCTCCTGTTCAATTGTTTGGAATAGTTTCAGAAGGAATGATGCCAGCTCTTCTTTGTATTTCTGGTAGAATTCAGCTGTGAATCCGTCTGGTCCTGGACTTTTTTTGGTTGGTAGGCTATTAATTACTGCCTCAATTTCAGAGCTTCTTATTGTTCTATTCAGGGATTCAGCTTCTTCCTGGTTTAGTCTTGGGAGGGTGTATGTGTCCAGGAATTTATCCATTTCTTGTAGATTTTCAAGTTTATTTGCATATAATTGTTTACAGTATTTTCTGATGATAGTTCATATTTCTGTGGGGTCATTAGTGATATCAGCTTTATCACTTTTTTTTATTACACTTTAAGTTTTAGGGTACATGTGCACAACGTGCAGGTTTGTTACATATATATACATGTGCCATGTTGGTGTGCTGCACCCATTAACTCGTCATTTAGCATTAGGTATATCTCCTAATGCTATCCCTCCCCCCTCCCCCCACCCCACAACAGGCCCCCATGTGTGATGTTCCCCTTCCTGTGTCCATGTGTTCTCATTGTTCAATTCCCACCTATGAGTGAGAACATACAGTGTTTGTTTTCTTATCCTTGTGATAGTTTGCTGAGAATGATGATTTCCAGCTTCATCCATGTCCCTACAAAGGACATGAACTCATCCTTTTTTATGGCTGCATAGTATTCTATGGTGTATATGTGCCACATTTTCTTAATTCAGTCTATCATTGTTGAACGTTTGGCTTGGTTCCAAGTCTTTGCTATTGTGAATAGTGCCAAAATAAACTTACGTGTGCATGTGTCTTTATAGCAGCATGATTTATAATCCTTTGGGTATATACACAGTAATGGGATGGCTGGGTCAAATGGTATTTCTAGTTCTAGATCCCTGAGGAATTGCCACACTGACTTCCACAATGGTTGAACTAGTTTACAGTCCCACCAACAGTGTAAAAGTGTTCCTACTTCTCCACATCCTCTCCAGCACCTGTTGTTTCCTGACTTTTTAATGATCACCATTCTAACTGGTGTGAGATGGTATCTCATTGTGGTTTTGATTTGCATTTCTCTGATGGCCAGTGAAGATGAGCATTTTTTCATGTCTTATGGCTGCATAAATGTCTTCTTTTGAGAAGTGTCTGTTCATATCCTTCACTCACTTTTTGATGGGGTTGTTTGTTCTTTTCTTGTAAATTTGTTTGAGTTCATTGTAGATTCTGGATATTAGCCCTTTGTCAGATGGGTAGATTGCAAAAATTTTCTCCTATTCTTTAGGTTGCCTGTTCACTCTGATGGTAGTTTCTTTTGCTGTGCAGAAGCTCTTTAGTTTAATTAGATCCCATTTGTCAATTTTAGTTTTTGTTGCCATTGCTTTTGGTGTTTTAGCATGGTATCAAAACAGAGATATAGACCAATGGAACAGAACAGAACCCTCAGAAATAATGCTGCATATCTAGAACTATATGATCTTTGACAAACCTGACAAAAACAAGAAATGGGGAAAGGATTCCCTATTTAATAAATGGTGCTGGGAAAACTGGCTAGCCATATGTAGAAAGCTGAAACTGGATCCCTTCCTTACACCTTATACAAAAATTAATTCAAGATGGATTAAAGACTTAAATGTTAGACTTAAAACCATAAAAACCCTAGAAGAAAACCTAGGCCATACCATTCAGTACACAGGCATCATCTTTATCACTTTTTATTGTGCCTATTTGATTCTTCTCTCTCTTCTTCTTTATTAGTCTAGCTAGCTATTTTGTTAATTTTTTCAGAAAACCAGCTACTAGATTTATTGATTTTTTGGAGGGTTTTGCATGTCACTATCTCCTTCAATTCTTCTCTGATCTTAGTTATTTCTTGTGTTCTGCTAGCTTTTAGATTAGTTTGTTCTTCTTGCCTCTCTAGCTCTTTTAGTTGTGATGCTAGGGTGTCGATTTCAGGTATTTCTAACTTTCTGTTGTGGGCATTTAGTGCTATAAATTTCCCCCTTAACACTGCTTTAGCTGTGTCCCAGGGATCCTGGTACCTTGTCTCTTTGTTCTCATTGGTTTCAAAGAACTTCTTGATTTCTGCCTTAATTTCCTTATTTACCCAGGAGACATTCATGAGCAAGTTGTTCAATTTCCATAAAATTGTGTGGTTTTGAGTAAGTTTCTTAATCCTGAATTCTAATTTGATTGTATTGTGGTCTGAGAGACTGTTCGTTATGATTTCAGTTCTTTTGCATTTGCTGAGAAGTGTTTTACTTCCAATTATGTGGTCGATTTTAGAATAAGTGTCATGTGGCACTGAGAAGAATTTATATTCTGTTGATTTGGGGTAGAGAGTTCTGTAGGCATCTACAAGTTCTGCTTGATCCAGAGCTGAGTTCAAGTCCTGAATATCCTTGTTAGTTTTCTGTCTCATTGATCTGTGTAATATTGACAGTGGGGTGTTAAAGTCTTCCACTATTATTGTGTGGGAGTTTAATTATCTTTTTAGGCCTCTAAGAACTTGTTTTATGAATCTGGGTGCTCCTGTATTGGGTGCATATAGATTTAGAATAGTTAGCTCTTCTTGTTGAACTGTTCCCTTTATCATTATGTAATGCCTTTCTTTGTCTTTTTTTAATCTTTTTGGTTTAAAAGTCTGTTTTTTCAGAGACTAGCATTTCAACACCTGCTTTTTTTTTTTTTCATTCCATTTGCTTGGTAATTTTTCCTCCATCCCTTTATTTTGAGCCTATGTGTGTCTTTGCATGTAAGATGGGTCTCCTGAATACAGCATACTGATGGATCTTGACTCCTTATCCTATTTGCCTGTCTGTGTCTTAATTGGGGCATTTAGCCCATTTACATTTAAGGTTAGTATTAATATGTGTGATTTTGATCCTGTCATCATGATGCTATTTGGTTATTTTGCACACTATTTGATGCAGTTTCTTTGTAGTTTCATTGGTCTTTATATTTTGGTGTGTTTTTGCAGTGGCTGGTACCAGTTTCTCCTTTCCATATTTAGTGCTTCTTTACGGAGCTCTTGCAGGGCAGGCCTGGTGGTAATGAAATCCCTCAGCATTTGCTTGTCTGGAAAGGATTTTATTTCTCCTTCACTTATGAAGCTTAGTTTGGCTGGATATGAAATTCTGGGTTAAACATTCTTTTCTTTAAAAGAATGTTGAATATTGGCCCCCAATCTGTTCTACCTCGTAGAGTTTCTGCTGAGAGGTCCACTGTTAGTATGATGGGCTTTCCTTTGTGGTTATCTGGCCTTTCTCTCTGGCTGCCCCGAACAGTTCTTCCTTCACTTAAACCTTTGAGAATCTGAGGATTATATGTCTTGGGGTTGATCTTCTTGTGGAGTGTATTAATAGTGTTCTCTGTATTTCCTGAATTTGCACGTTGGCCTGTCTTGCTAGGTTGGGGAAGTTCTCCTGGATAATATCCTGAAGCGTGTATTCCAGCTTGTTTCCATTCTCCCCATCTCCTTCTGGTACTCCAATCAATTGTAGGTTTGGTCTTTTTATGAGGTCTCATATTTCTTGGAGGCTTTGCTCATTCCTTTTTATTCTTTATTCTCTATTGTTGTCTGCATGTCTTATTTCAGTAAGGTGGTCTTCAAACTCTGATATCCTTTCTTCTGCTTGGTCGATTTGTGTATGCCTCATAAAGTTCTTGCGCTGTGTTTTTCAGCTCCATCAGGTCATTTATGTTCATCCCTAACTATTTATTACCCATCTTCTGAAGCCTACTTTCGTCAATTCGTCCAGTTCTGCACCCTTGATGGAGAGACATTGTGAACGTTTGGAGGAGAACAGGCACTCTAGCCTTTTGGGTTTTCAGCATTTTTTCATTGATTCATTCTCATCTTCATGAGTTTGTCTAGTTTTGGTCTTTGAGGCTGCTGACCCTTGGATGGGGTTTTTGTGGAGGCAATTTCTGCTGGTTTGTTTTTCTTTCAATAGTCAGGTCCCTCTTCTCTAGGGCTGCTGCAGTTTGCCGGGGGTTCACTTCAGGCCCTATTTATCTGATTCACTCCCTTGCCTGGAGATGTCACTCAACGAGCCTGGAAAGCAGCAAAGATGGGTGTCTGCTCCTTCTTCTTGGACCTCTGACCACAAGGGGCACCAACCTGATGCCAGTAGGATCGCTCCTGTATAGGGTGTCTGACAATCCCTGTTGGAGGGTCTCACCCAGTTGTGTGACACAGGAAGCAGGACTGATTTAATGAAGCACTTTTTCCCTTGGTGGAGATGGTGTGTTTCACTATGGGGGAACCCACTCATCTGGGCTACCTGGATTCCTCAGAACTACCAGGAGGAGAGGCTAAATCTGCTGGTCCACAGAGATTCCAGCCACCCCTCCCACTAGTGGCTCAGGCCCAGGGAGATCTGAATTCTGTCTCCAGCCTCTAGCTGGAGTTATTGGAGATCCTGGAGAGAAGCCCTGCCCCCTGAGGAAGGATGGGTCAGAGTTAGGCCTGAAAAGGTGCTCTGGCTGCAGATTGCCACACCTGGTTTGTTGGGCTGTGGGGACAAGTCTTGGGACCAAGCCTTCCAGCTTCCCTGGCTCCAGCAGGGAGAAAGCATAGCCTGGAGCTATAGAAATGGGTGCTGCCCTTTCCCCACCCAGGGAGCTTAGCTTGTTAGGCAGTTGCTAGTTTCAGTGCTGGCGGCTGCCCCTCCCCCAAGGAGCTCAAACAGCTTAGACCACAGGCAGCCACAGCAGGTGCTGGTTGCCCCTCCTCCCAGGAGTTTGGTAGGCTTAAGCAGTTTCCAGCAGAGAGGCTGAAAGAATCTGCATGTTCCAGGGTTGAGACTCTAGGCCCCAGTGGTGGCATGGGTTAGCGAGTGGGATCCTCCGATCCGTGGGTTGCACAGTTCCTTGGAAAAAGCACAGTTTCCATGGTTGGGTGGCACCCTCACTCACAGCCTCCCTTGGCTGGGTGAGGAGGTTCTGGTTCCCCATGTGGCTCTCAGGTGAGCCACCACGCCACACTGCTCTTCCTTCTCTCCCTAGGTTACGCCAGCCTTCTAGTCAATTTCTATGACAGAACCTGGATACCTTGGTTGCTGGTGAAGGATTCACATGCTTATTATGTTTTTGTTTGTTTATTTGTTTGTTTTTTGTTTTTTTGATGGGAACTTCCAAATTCCTCTGTTTCTACTCAGCCATCTTGCAAGAATAATTTCTGACATCAGTCTTTGAGGTTTATTCTGCCCCTAGTAGGAATACTATTAGCTATCTATTTTACTGGTTCTTTGCAGTAAATTAACTGGTCTGTGCTTTAGTTGTGGCTATCATAGAGTTACTTGCCCCCTTTAAATTGTTTACCACAAAAATCTCCTGTATTAGCCAGGGTTCTCTAGAGGGACAGAAAAAATAGGATAGATATATATAAAGGGGAGTGTATTAAGTATTACCTTATACAATCACAAATTCCCACAATAGGATGTCCACAAGCTTGAGGAGCAAGGAGAGCCAGTCCGAATCTCAAAAGTGAAGAACTTGGAGTCTGATGTTTGAGGGCAGGAAATGTCCAGCACCAGAGAAGGATGTAGGCTGGGAGGCTAAGCCAGTCTCTCCTTTTCATGGGTTTCTGCCTGCTTTATATTCACTGGCAACTGATTAGAGGGTGGCCACCAGATTAAGGGGGGGTCTGCCTTCCCAGCCCACTGACTCAAATGTTACTCTCCTTTGATAATACCCTCACAAACACACCCAAGATCAATAATTGGCATCCTTCAATCCAATCAAGTTGACTCTCAGTATTAACTATCACATCTCCATTCTTTTTAAAGCACACTTAAGCTTAAAGCTCCCTTCACTGTTTCACATACAGACATGTTCTAATGGTGGGGCTTCAAAGCCGTCTATTATTCTGAACAGTCTTTACCTCTGGTCAAAATCTCTAAACCACTGCTCTGGAACTGGGGCAGAAAAAGGGGCCCATTTCTTTCAGAGTAACATTACTGTTTTATAACTGCAGCACTAAGAGAGGGTTATAGGCTCTGGTCTTCTTGGCTTACCTCTTGTCAAGCATGTCCATGTGAAGAAACCACCAAACAGGCTTTGTGTGAGTAATAAAGCTGTTTATTCACTTGGGTGCAAGTGGGCTAGTCCGAAAAGAAAGTCAGCGAAGAGAGATGGGAAAAGGGTTGTTTTATAGGAGTTGGGTAGGTAATGGAAAATTACAGTGAAAGGTGGTTATCTATTGTTAGCAGAGGAGGGGGTCATAAGGTACATGGTGGGGAGATCATAAGACTCATTGTCCAGAAGAAGAATGTCACAAAGTCAATTGATCAGCTAAGGTAAGGCAGGGACAAGTCACAGTAGTAAAATGCTGTAATGCTGGTTATTCAGTTAAGGCAGGAACTGGCTGTTTTACTTCTTTGTGGTTTTTTGGCTGCTCCAGACTTCTTGGCTCCTGCAGGCCACCTGGATGTATATGTGGAGCTCACAGGGGTTATAATGGCTGAGCTTCGGCTCAGAGGCCTAACACCTCTCCGTCATGAAACCTCTACCTGAGAAACAAGGTTGGGCAACGACTGTGGAGATCCCAGTATTTTTTACTTGCCATACCTGGAGTAGAATCTCTGCCCTATGAATGGGAACTGAAAGGAAGAAGGGAGCCTGTGACAACTTTCTAGGATGCTTTCTTCTATAATTTAGTCTTCGACACACAGCTGGTTGAGATGATAAGTAATGTGGCCAGGCTGTCTTCAAAAGATACTGTGGCCCTTCACTGGCAGCTGGAGGAAGAGAGAGCTCAGATATGTTAGCCAAATCCGCTTACAGCAGATGTCTCAGTGCTTCGCTGGGAGGGGGGCAGTTTGTGGCTTACATGCTCCAGACTTTCACTGTTATTAATTACATTTCATAGGTTTATTGATTAAATATTTCTTCTGTGTGATTTCCTTTCTGCTCTTAGACAGTTTCCAGGGACTTTAAAGAGTTTTCTTTTTGTTTTTTAAACAATTTTTGCAAGTTATGCTCTATCCATAATCTTTTCTCAGTTTTACCTGAAAGAGTGTCTTTGAAGCTCCTTATGCTGCAAATCCAGAAGTTTAAGCAGTGTCTTTCTCCACTTGTGGCTTTAAATTTCATTTCTATGATGAGTAATGGATACTATCCACTTTTTTTAAAATCCAGGAATTTTTTTTTATCACTTACCTTACAAAAATATATAATTCATTTATCCAAATGACCACAATTATTTTTAACAACTTTATTGAAAGAAAAATTTGACATGCAAATTGCACATATTTAAAGTGTACAAATTGGTACGTTCTGATATATGTATACTCCAATAAAACCATCACTACACTAATAAATGTATACATTACTCCCCAAATTTGCTCATGTCCTTTTGTAATTCTTTCTACTACATCTTTCTACCCACTATTCCCTTGCACTCTCCTTATGTAAGCACTGATTCACTTTCCATTTATATAGATGAGTTATCATTGTCTAGACTGTAATACCAATAATACCATGTAATATATAATATTTTTGTCTATCTCCTCCCGTAAATGTAGTTATTTTTGATTCATTCATTCATTTTGTAGTGTATATCAACAGTTCTTTCCTAATCATTGCTGAATACTATTATATAATATCCATTCATCTGTTGATGGATACTTCATTGTTTATAGTTTTAGGCTATTAAAACTAAAATTGCTATGAATATTTATGTGCAAGATTATTTTTGGACATATGGCTTTATTTCTTTTGGGTAAAATCCTTGGAGTGGAATAACCATATCTTATGGTAGGTATATGTTTAACGTCTTTTGAAAACTGCCAAACTCTTTTCTAAAGTGGTTATTCTGTTTTACATTCTGACCAGTAGTATATGAAAATTCCAGTTTCTCCATATAGTTGCCAATAAATGGTATGATCTGTATTTTTATTTTCAGCAATTCCAATAGATATGTAGCAGGATCACATTGTACTTTTAATTTGTATTTATCTAACAGTGAAATATTGCCCAAATCAACTATTTTAATGAGTTGTTTTCATCATCTTTTTTAGATTGAGAGTTCTTTATATATTCCAAATACACATATTTTTATATACATATGACTGCAAATATTTTCTCCCAGGTTGCGACTTAACTTTTAATTATTTTAATAGTATGTTTCAGGAACAAAATTTTCTAATTTTTATAAATTTTAATTTATCAGTATGGTCTTAATAGATTTTCTTTTAATTCCCTAAATGTAGATAACAACAGTTTTTAAATACATATTTTTCTAAAGTTTTATAATTTAGGTTTCACATTTAGGTCCAAAATTTTTCTCTATTAGTGTTTTAATGTGAGCTAAGGTATAAATTGCAAGAGATTTTTAAAAATTTTGTTTTTGTTGGGTTTGGTTAACCAGTATTGAAATAACTGTCCTTTCTCCACTGAATTGTCTTTGCACCTTTTCCAAAAATCAGTTGTCCATATATGGCTGGGCTTACTTTTTGGCTCTCTATTCTGTTTCATTAATATATTTGTTTATTTTGGTGCCAACAGCACAGTCTGCATTACTACTGCTTTATTGTAAGTTTTATATTCAGACAGTGTTATTTCTTTAGTTTTGTTCTTCTTCCTCAAAGATTTATTTATCCATTCTATGTCTTCGCATTTTTAAATAAAATTTAGGGTCAATTTTTTCAATTACTATTCTAAAAATTTGGATGCAGAGATGTAACTTCCCAAATGCATCATTGAGAACTTCTGTGAATCTCATTCTCCACGAAACCAGTGAAAATTCTGGCAAAAATTGTCAAAATCAGCTTTCTTAATGACTCTGGAAATTAGCCATGGTCTTATTACAATTACAGGGTTTTTGATGAAAACAAAACAAAGGAAAAACTGTTATACCTTGATAAGAAAAGCAATTTTTGGCTTTTATGTTTGGCTTATCACCATCCCTCTTCATAGATATTGGTTATTAGTTCAACTTCAAGGCTTCATTGTACCCTTGAAAACAAGACCTCACAACTACAATAGCAGTGAAAACCAGGAGCTTGCACCACTACAAAGAACAGACTAGGCTTTCATTTCTTCAAAGAAAAGCCCTTCTTCAGGCTACTGTCACAGTTAGACCTGTATCACAGCTATTTAGAATAACCTGATTTCTAGGACATTACCATTATTTAGCTTGACTTTGAGCTCACCACATTGAAAATGTCTATCCCCAGAGAATTTGTTTAAAAAAAAATTGTTTACCATAGCAGCTGCTTACGACTTTAATACAAGTTGAGGCAAGCAAGAGCCTGACAATTTTTAAAAAGGTTTGGGTATCAAAATTCCCATAGAAAGCTTGGGAAAAGCTCTGATATATTCCTGTAGTTGTAGAAGTCTACGTGCATGTACAAGGATGTGGATATGACCATGATACAACCTGACAGGCCCAATCTCTTAGGACTGTCTGAATTTAAAG
This sequence comes from Homo sapiens, assembly GCF_000001405.40. Lineage (NCBI taxonomy): Eukaryota > Metazoa > Chordata > Mammalia > Primates > Hominidae > Homo > Homo sapiens. Next base: position 118,149,852 of record NC_000003.12, read on the forward strand.
TATTATACAAGCAGGAAGTAAATGATAAGTCAGAGTTGTAAACAGCCTGTACATTGAAGGCATAACTAAACTTGCATACAGATCCACATGGTAAAGGATGGTAGTTCAAGGTTTTTAAACAAAACTCTGATCAATCACTAGCTTATGTCTAGGTTAATCAAACAGAAACTTCCATGGCAGAACATTACAGGAAAAAACAGACTTTATCAAATTAGTTCAAAAAAGTCACTAACCAAACAAACAGAAACAGCAACAACAAAAAAACATGAATAAGAGTAAGAATAAAGTATTGCAGAGTTACCATAGTATGTTATCCCAAATATCCAGTTTTTAACAAAAATTACCAAAAAATTTGAATGTATGGTTCATACATGGAAAGAAATGCAGTCAATAGAAACTCCCTAAGGGGACTCAAATATTGGACTTATTAGACACAGACTTAAATCAGCAACTGTAATTGTAGTTAAAAAAAAAAAAACTAAAGAAAATAATGTCTAAAAAATTAAAGGTATAACAGTGATTATCACATGTATAAGATAGAATATGAATAAAGAGACAGTAATTAGAAAAATAAAGCCAAGTAGAAATGTTGGAACTGAAAATAACAATAACAAAAATTTCACTTGGAAAGTTCAACAGTAGACTTGATCTAGCAGAAGAAAGAATCAGCAAACTTGAAGAGAGACCAACTGACATAATCCAGATTTTGAAATAGCAAAAAATAACTAAGAAAAATAGACAGAGTCTCTAAGATCCATGAGATACTATCAAGTTGTACCTACAAATGCATAGTGAAATTCCCAGAAGAGATAAGAGACAAAAAGCAGAAATAATATTTTTTAAAAATGTCTAAAAACTTCCCAAATGTGATGGTAAAGAGACAAACTTGATTAAAAATAGAAACAAAGACAAACTGCACATCCTTGATGAAAAGATTAATCTACACATCCAGGATGTTCTATACCCTCAAAGTAGGACAAATGAAAGAAATTCACATATAGACACAACTTGGATTGTTCGTTCCTCCTTGTCAGCCATACATAACCCCTTGGAAGCTGATTGGAAACCTACTTTCACAGGTTTTAAGGCAAGTTGACTCAGAGGAGAAGTACAGGACAATTGGAAGAGATATAAATATTGGTGGCGACCTCACCACTTGCACCTCTCCCACTATGCATGCATACAAAAAGGACACAGTTACCTCTTTAGAACTGCCAGACCCAAGTTCTAAAATAAAATCCATCTTTCTATCTTTCTCTGTCCATAAATAAATGTGAATTTATAAGGGAAAAAACTGTAACAAAACGAAAAAGGTATAAAAAGCTAAACTGTAAAATGTCAAATTGTTTTCTTATTGATGCCCTGAGGAATACAAAGTGTAATAAGTAAAATAATAAAATTTTTAAACTGTCAAGCTGTAAAAAGTCAAAAACAAAGAGAGAATTGTGAAAGCAACAAGAAAAAATGACTTACCATGTACAAAAAATTCCAAATAAAAATTAACAGCTGACTTCTCACTACAAACAATGAAGACCAGAACACAATGGAATGATATATTCAAAGTGCTGAAGGAAAAAAATATATCAATCTTTAATTCCCTATCTGGTAAAACTCTCCTTTAAAAATCAAAAAGAAAATAAGGTATTTCCAGATAAAAACTCAGAGCATGCTTTGCTAAACACATGTCCTACAAAAAATAATTATAGGAGGTTTTTCATGCCAAAAGAAAAGGACACTAAATAGTAACTCAAATCTACATGAATAACTAAAGAGTACTAGTAAGGATAACTACATAGGTAAATATAAAACATGTCTAAATATATTTGTATAATTTTTCTTAGCTACTTTAAGACAATATTGCATAAAGAAATTAATTATAAAATGCTGATAGACATAATGTATACATATGAAATTTGAATGACAATAATGACACAAAGGAAGATTTAGGGAATGTAAGCATATTAAAGTAAATATTTCTTAAACTATTGAAAATAAGTTTTTGTTAACATAAATTAGATTGCTTTAAGATAATAATTGTAATGTCCTGGGAAACCCCTAGAAAAATAGCTAACAGCAACAAAATGAAAACAATAACGAGATTAAATTGTACACTAGAATATATCTATTAATACAAAAGAAGGCATAATGAAAAAAACAAAGATATAAGACATTCAGAAGACAAGAAAAAATGGAAGACATAAAATCTACCTTACCAGTAATTAAATTAAAAGTGAGTGGAGTAAAACCTCCAGTCAAAAGTTGTAGAATAGCAAAATGGGTTTTAAAAAATGATCCAGCCAGAGACATCATCAAGAAGCTGACTAGACTAAGAAGTCCAATGCTAGTCTCCTACTACACAAACAAAGACCAAAATACAAATAATTAACTGCACATCAAAGAGTACCTAAGGGAGAACATAGGAATTTAACAAATAAAGAGACAAAAATCACCTGAAGCATGGAAACATGGGATGGCAGCATAGAAAGGGAGGCAAAACCACATGACTAGGATACACTTGGAGCCAAGAAGGACCCCCTGTTGTGGGAAAAAGGTAAGCAAATTTCTGGCAGTCCCCATTGACATCATGAATACATGTGATCCTACCTATAGGAGAACTTCACTGTACTCATAGTTCCTGAGCCCAATATAGTAGCTGTCTGGAGTCAATGCAGCTACATTGCTCTTTTGTGTACTGATATAAAAAAACAGATACATAGACCAATGCAATAGCAAAGAGAACCCAGAAATAAATCAACAATTTTACAGACAACTGATTTTCAACTAAGATGCCAAGAACATATATTGTGGGAAGAACAGTTTCTTCAATAAGTGATATAGGAAAAACTGGATAGCAATAAGCAGAAAAATGAAACTATATTCCTGTCTCTCACCATATACAAAAATCAAATCAAAGTCAATTACAAACTTAAATGTAAGACCTGAAACTTTGAAACTACTAGAAGAAAACATAGGAGAAATGCTGGAGGACATTCATGCAAAGATTTTTATGGATGAGACCTCAAAATCACAAGAAACATAAACAAAAAGTAGCTAATGGAATTTTATCAAACTAAAAAGCTTCTGCACAGAAAAAGAAACAATCAACAAAGTGACGACACAACATGTAGAATGGAAGAAAATATTTGCAAACTGATTATCCAAGAAGGGACTAGTTTCCAGGCTATAACAGAAACTCAAACAGCTCAACAGCAAAAAAACCAAATAATTAAATTCAAATATGGGCATATAATTTGAATAGACATTTCTCAAGGAAGCCATACAAACAGCCAACAACCATGAAAAAATGCTCAACACTAATCAGCAAAATGCAAATCAAAACCACAATGAATTATTATCTCACTTCAGTTACAATGGGTATTATCAAAAAGATAGGCAATAACAAGTGTTGGTGAGGAGGCAGAGAAAAGGGAATCCTTATTCTTATTGAGAATGTAAATTAGTGTAGCTATTGTGGAAAACAGTATGGAGGGCTCTCCTGCATATACTAAAATAGAACTACCATATGATACAGCAATCCCACTGCTAGATATATAGTGAAAAAAAATAAAAGGAAATCAATATATGGAAGAGATATCTCGACTCCCATATTTATTGCAGCACTATTTACAATAGCCAAGATATGAAATCAATCTGTGAGTTTATCAGCAGATAAATGAATAAGGAAAATGTGGTAGTGTGTGTGTGTGTGTGTGTGTGTGTGTGTGTGTGTGTTTGTGAGAGAGAGACAGACAGAGAGAGAGTCCATTTTGCATTGCTATAAATAAATTCCTGAGACTCAGTAATTTACAACAAGTTTATTCTGGCTTATGGTCTGTAGACTGTAAAAGATGCATGGCACCAGTATCTGCTTCTGGTAAGGACTCAGGAAGCTTTTAGTCATGACAGAAAGGAAAGGGAGCCAGCATGTCACATAGTGAGAGAGTGAGCAAGAGAATGAGAGGAGGGAGGTACCGGACTCTTTTTAACAACTGGATATCATGTGAACAAATAAAGCAAGAACTCACTCATTATTGCAAGGAGGGCATCAAGCCATTCATAAGATCTGCCCCCCATGACTCAAACACCTCCCACTATTGCCCCACCTCCAATATTGGGGATCACATTTTGTACTAGTCAGAGTTCTCTCAAGGAACAGAATTAATAGGATAGATGTATATATAAAGGGGAGTTTATTAAGGAATATTGACTCACAAAATTTCAAGTGAGGTCCCACAATAGGCTGTCTGCAAGCTGAGGAGCAAGGAAGCCAGTCTGAGTCCCAAAACCTCAGAAGTAGGGAAGCTGACAGTGCAGCCTTCAGTCTGTGGCTGAAGGCCCAAGAGTTCTAAAGCTGAAGAGCTTGGAGTCTGATGTTTGAGGGCAGAAAACATCAGCCCAGGAGAAGGATGTCAGCCAGAAGACTAAGACAGTCTAGTCCTTCCCCATTCCTCTGCCTGCTTTTATCCTAGTCATATTGGCAGCAGATTAGATTGTGCCCACCCAGATTGAGGGTGGGTCTGCCTCTGTCAGTCCACTGACTCAAATATTAATCCTTTTTTGGCAACACCCTCACAGACACACTCAGGGACAATACTTTGCATCCTTCAATCCAATCAGGTTGATACTCAATATTAACCATTACACATTTCAACATGAGATTTGGAGGAAAAAATATCTAAACTATATCTATCTATTTATCTCTACAAAAATTGAATACTCTTCAACTATAAAAAAGAATGAAATCTTGCTGTTATTTGCAACAAGATAGATGAGCCTAGAGGGTATTTTGTTAAATGAAATGTGACAGGTACAGAAAGATAAATACTGTATGTTCTCATTCATATATAAAAGCTAAAGAGTTGATCTCATAGAAGTAAAGAGTAGAATAGTAGTTAATAGAGGCTGGGAAAAGTAAAGGGTGGGGAAATTGGGAGAAGTTGGTTAATGAAAAGAAAATTGCAGCTAGATAGGAGAAATAAGTTCTAGTGTTCTATAACACTGTAGCGTAACTATAGTTTTAGTAATTTACTATATATTTTCAAATAGCTAGACCAGGGGATTTTGATATTCCAAACATATAGAATTTATAAATGTTTGAGGTGATAGATATCCTAATTATCCTGGCTTGATACTTACACATTGTGTATATGTATTGAATATCACACTGTACTCCGTAAATATGTTCAATTATGTGCTAATCAACAATGTGAAAAAATAATCTAGCCTTACACTGTCTACAAGAGATATATTTCAGATTTAGACACAAATAATTTAAAAGAAAAAGGGTGGGAAATGTGTACCATGCAAATAATTACCAAGCAAAAGTTGTAATAGCCATACTGATAACGGATAAAGGAGACTTTAAGACAAAAATTGTTACTGAAGACAAATAGACAAATGTTATAATAAAATGATTAATCATTAGTAAAATAGAATAAACACATGCAAAAAACAACAGAGACTTAAAAACCATAAAATAAAAACTGACATAATTTAAAGGGGAAATACACAACTAGGGAATAATAATTGGGGTTTTTAATACATCATTTTTAATAATGAATAGTGTTATTAGTTAATGAATAGCATATACAAGACTTCAACAGCACCATAAACCAACTAGACCTAACAGACATCAATAGAACACCCCACCCACCAAGAGCAGAATACACATTCTTCTCAATTATATAAAGACATTCTCCAGGATAGATCATATTTTATGTCATAAAACAAGCACTGGTAACATTAAAAGGATTGAAATCATACAAATCATATTCAATAAGCATGATGTAATTAAATTGAAAATAAAATAGAAGAAATTTTGGGGAATGCCCAAATATTTGGAAGTAAAACTACACTTCTAAGTAACTAAAACTTCTAACAATAAATCATATTGTAAATTAGAAAATGTTTTGAGATGTATAAAATAGAAACAAACTTACCCAAATTTATGGTTGCAGTAAAGCAGTTCTCAAAGGGAAACTGCTATATTAAAAAGGAAGAAGCCTCTCAAATCAACATCTCACCTTAAGAAACTACCCATCATAAGATAAATAAAAAGATTTGTAAATGTCCTTTATAAACAGAAATATATAAGCAAATTAATTAGTTTAGATGAAAGGGACAAATTTCTAGAAAACCACAAACTACCCAAACTGACTCAAGCAAAAAATAAGAAACTCAAATTAACTAAAAGTGATAAGGAGTCTGAATTAATAAATTTAAATTTTCCCAGAAAAGAAAGCCAAAGATCATATAGCTTCAATGGTAAATTCTCCCAAACTTTTAAAGAGGAATTAATATCATCCTTAAGAAATTCTTCCAAAAACAAGAGAGTGAACATTTTACTACATATTCTATGAGGCCAATAGTACTCTGATGTCAAAAGAAATTACAAAGAAGGAAAAACACAGACCAATATATTAGAAACATAGATATAAAAATACTAGCAAATTTAGTCCAGCAACAAATAATTGCATATTTTATGCAACTATACATCATGGTCAAGTGGGGTTTATTCCAGGAATGTAATATTTGCTTAACAAGTGAAAGATAATAAATGTAAGACAACCTACCAACAGAATATAGGACAAAAATCTAAAATATTATCAATAGATGCATCAAAGGCATTTATAAAAATCCAACATACTCTAATGATGCAAAAGAACACTCAACAAACTAGGAAATAAAGGGAAATTTCTCAACACATAATCAGCATCAATGAAATATTCACAAATAACATTATACTTATAGAAAAAAAATGCTTTTTCCATAGGATCTGAAACAGGATAAGAAAACCTACTCTCATTGCTTCTATTCAATATTATAAGAATATTTTAAAAATAAATTTTATTTATATATTTTAAAAATAAAAAATAAAAAATTAAATTAAGAAAACAATTTCATTGACAATAACATCAAAGAGGGCAAAATACATTGGTACAAATATAATATGGAAGCGTAAAACTTGTACACTGAAAATTATAACACATTGTAGAAAGAAATAAAAGAGGATCTAAATAATTGGAAATACATCCCATGTATATAAAAGAATGAATATCATTAGATTGACATTACTACCAAAATTCATCTACAGATTCAATACAATCTGTCAAAATTTCAATCTCCTTCACAGAAATAGAATGAGACAATCCTAAACTTTATATAATACAACAACGACAACAAAAAAAACAAAATAGCCAAAGCAATCTTGAGCAAAAAGAACAAATCTGGAAACATCACATTATCTCAATTTAAAATATATTATAAAGCTATAGTAACCAAAACAACATGGCATAAAAACAGACATTTTGACCAATGGAATAGGATAGAGAGCCCAGAAATAAACCCACACATTTATAGTCAATTGATTTTTGACAAAGATACTAAGAATACTGTATTAGTCCATTCTCATACTGCTAATAAAGATATACCATAGATTGGGTAATTTATAAAGGAAAGAGTTTTAATTGAATACAGTTCTGTAGGGCCGGGGAGGCCTCAGAAAACTTACAATCATGGTAGATGGGAAAGCAAACACATCTTTCTTCACATGGTGGCAGCAAGGAGAAGTGCAGAACAAAAGGGAAAAAGCCCCTTATAAAACCAGCATATCTCATGAGAACTTACTCACTATCACTAGAACAACATGAAGGTAACTGTCCCCCTGATTAAATTTATCTTTCACCAGGTCCCTCCAAGGACATATGAGGATTCTGGAAAGTATAATTCAAGATGCTATTTGAGTGGTGACACAGCCAAACCTTACCATTCTGCCCCATCCTCTCCCAAATCTCATGTCCTCACATTTCAAAACACAATCATGCCCTTCCAACAGTCCCCCAAAGTCTTAACTTATTTCAGCATTTACTCAAAAGTTCAAGTCCAAAGTCTCATCTAAGACAAGGCAAGTCCCTTCCACCTACGAGACTGTAAAATCACAAGCAAGTTAGTGACTTCCTAGATACAATGCAGATACAGGCATTGGGTAGATACACCAATTCCAAATGGGAGAACTTGGCCAAAACAAAGGGGCTACAGGCCCCACGCAAGTCCAAAATGTAAGAGGGCAGTCATTAAACCTTAAAGTTACAAAATGATCTCCTTTGACTCCATGTCTCACATCCAGATCACGTTGATGCAACAGGTGATCTCCTACGGCCTTAGGAAGCTCCACCCCTGTGGCTTTGCAGGGTACAGCCCCCTCCCAGCTGCCTCCACAGGCTGGCATTGAGTTTCTGTGGCTTTTCCATGTGTACAGTGCAAGTTGTCAGGGGATCTACCATTATGGGGTCTGGAGGTCTGGCCCACTTCTCATAGCTCCACTAGGCAGTGCCCCAGTGGGGACTCTGTGTGGAGGCTTGACCCTACATTTCCCTTCCACACTATCCTAGCAAAGGTTCTCCATGAGGGTTCCACTGCTGCAGCAGACGTTTGCCTGGACATCCAGGCATTTCCCTACATCCTCTGAAATCTAGGTGGAGGTTCCCAAACCTTAATTCTTTCCTTCTGCGTACCCACAGGACCAAACCAACTGAAAGCTGCTAAGGCTTGGGGCTTGCACCCTCTGAAGCAACAGTCTGAGCTGTACCTTGGCCCCTTATAGCCACTGCTGAACTGGGTGGTACTCAGGGTACCAAGTCCTGAGGCTGCACACAGCAGAAGGGCCCAGGCCCTGGCCAAGGAAATCATTTTTCCCTCCTATGCCTTTAGACGTATGATGGGATGGGCTGCCATGAAGGTCTCTGACATGCCCTGGAGATTATATACTCATTGTCCTAGTAATTAACATTTTTTTTTTTTTGAGATGGAGTTTCGCTCTTGTTGCCCAAGCTGGAGTGCAGTGTCAGCTCACTGCAACCTCTGCCTCCTGGGTTCAAGTGATTCTCCTGCCTCAGCCTCCTGAGTAGCTGGGATTACAGGCACCTGCCATCATGCCTGGTTAATTTTAGTATTTTTAGTAGAGATCAGGTTTCACCATGTTAGCCAGGCTGGTCTTGAACTCTTGACCTCAGTTGATCTGCCTGCCTTGGCCTCCCAAAGTGCTGGGATTACAGGCATGAGCCACTGCACCTGGCTGGTGATTAATATTTGGCTCCTCATTACTTATGCAAATTTCTGCAATTGGCTTGAATTTCTCCTCAGAAAATGGGTTTTTCTGTTCTATCACATCATCAGGTTGCAAATTTTCCAAACTTTTATGCTCTGCTTCCTCTTGAATGCTTTACTGCTTAGAAATTTCTTCCACCAGATACCATAAATCATCTCTCTGAAGTTCAAAGTTCCACAGATCTCTAGGGCAGGGGCAAAATGCCACCAGTCTCTTTGCATAGCAAGAGTGAACTTTACTCCAGTTCCCAACAAGTTCCTCATTTCCATCTGAGACCATCTCAGCCAGGACTTCATTGTCCATATCTCTATCAGTATTTTGGTCAAAGCCATTCAACAAGTCTCTAGGAAGTTCCAAACTTTCCCACATCTTCCTATCTTCTGAGCCCTCCATGTCTCTAGGAAGTACCAAACTTTCTCACATTTTCCTGTCTTTTTCTGAGCCCTCCAAACTGTTTCAACCCCTGCCTGTTACCCAGTTCCAAAGTTCCACAAGATGTGACTTGCTCCTCACCTTCCTCCATGATTGCGAGGCCTCCACAGCCATGTGGAACTTTAAATCCAATAAACTTCTTTTTCTTTTGTAAATTTCCCAGTCTTGTGTATGTGTTTATCAGCAGCATGAAAATGGACTAATACACCTCCTCAGCCCTGAGGAACTGTGAGTCAGTTAAGCCTCTTTCCTTTATAAATTACTCAGTCTCAAGTATGCCTTTATTAACAGCATGAGAACGGACTAATACAGCAAATTGGTACTGGGTAGTGGGGCACTGCTGTAAAGACATCTTATGTGGATGGCAGAAGGCAGAGAGATTGTGCAGAGAAACTCCCATTTTTGAAACCATCAAATCTCATAAGACCCATTCACTATCTTGAGAACAGCACAAGAACACCCCCCCCACCCTAGCCCACCATGATTCAGTCATCTCCCTCTGGGTCTCTCCCACAACATGTGAGAATTATGGGAGCTACAAGATTAGATTTTTGTGGGGACACAGAGCCAAACCATATCAGGAGGCTCAGGAAACTTACAATCATGATTGAACGGGAAGCAAACATGTCCTTCTTCACATGGTGGCAGCAAGGAGAAGTGCAGAGCAAAAGGGGAGAAGTCCCTTATAAAACCATCAGATCTCATGAGAACTCACTCATTATCATGAGATCAGCATGAAGGTAACTGCCCCCATTATTAAATTACCTCCCACTGGATCCCTACAAGGACATGTGGGGATTATGGGAACTACAATTCAAGATGAGGTTTGGGTGGGGACACAGCCAAACCATATCAAATACTTATTGGGAAAAGCATAGTCTCTTCATTAAAGGGTTCTAAGAAAATTGGATAGTCACAAGTAAAAGAATAAAATTGGACTCTTCTCTCACATCCTATATAAAAATCAACTCAAGATGGATTAAAGACTTAAACATAAGACCCAAAACTGTAAAACTACTAGAAGGAAACATAGAGGAATCCCTCCATAACATGGGTGGGAGCCAAGATTTCTTTGATTTGACCCCAAAAGCACAGGCAATAAAAGCAAAAATAGACAAATGAGGTTGCATCAAACTAAAAATTTTCTGCACAGCAAATGAAGCAATTAGAGTAAAAAGACAATACACAAATTAAGGGAAAATATTTGGCAACTGTACATCTGATAATGGGTTAATATTTCAAATATATAAAGAACTCAAAAGAATTCAACAGCAAAATAGAAAAAAGGAAAAAAATAAAGGAAGCACCTAAATAGACATTTCTCAAAGGAAGGCATATAAACAGCCAACAATTACAATAAAAAAAAAAGAAAATCAACATGACTAATCAGAGAAATGCAAATTAAAACCACAATAAGCTATCACCTCACACCTATTAGGATGGCTATTACCAGAAAGGTGAAAGATAAAAGTTGGTGAGAATGTGGAAAAAAGGCAACACTCGTACACTGTTGGTGGAAATATAGATTAGTATAGCCATTATGAAAAACAGTATAGTTTCCACAAAAAATTAAAAATAGGATTGCTATATGATCCAAGCAATCCCATTTCTGGATATATAGCGAAAGGAATTAAAATCAATATGTCAAAGTTATCTGCACTTCTGTGTTCATTGCAGCACTCTTCACAATGGCCAAGGTATGGAAGCAACCTAAGTGTCCATCAATGAATAAACAGATAAAATGTGGTGTATTTACATAATGGAATAATAGTCATCCTTTTAAAAAGGAAGAAAATCATGTCATTTGCAACAACATGGATGAACATGAAGGATATTGTGATAAATGAAATAAGCCAGAAATAGAAAGACAAATATTTCATGATCTCACTTATATGTAGAATCTAAAAATGTTAACTCAAAATTAGTAAAATAGTGGTTACCAAAGTTGGAGATGAAGGTGGGGACTGGTGGGTGTTACCCAGTTCCAAAGTTCCACAAGATGTGACTTGCTCCTCACCTTCCTCCATGATTGTGAGGCCTCCATAGCCATGTGGAACTTTAAATCCAGTAAACTTCTTTTTCTTTTGTAAATTTCCCAGTCTTGTGTATGTCTTTATCAGCAGCATGAAAATGGACTAATACACCTCCTCAGTGTACAAAGTGTGAATTAGAGAGGTCAAGTGTACAAAGTGTGAATTAGAGAGGAGTAAGTTTTCGCAGTCTATTGCACAGTATAGTGACTATTGTTGATAATGTAAAGTGGGCCCTCAAATAACATCTTTTCACTCAACATCATTTTGTTATTACTTTGATGAGAAAAAAAATATGACTCCCAGCTGGGGCCACTCTCTGTGTGGAGTTTGTACATTTTCCTCATGTCTGTGCAGATTTTCTTTGGATACTTTGTTTTCCTCCCACATTTCAAAGATGTGCACATTAGCTGTACTGGTGCACCATTAGGTCTAAATTGTCCCAATATTAGCAAGTGTGGCTGTGTATGTGAAGGCACCCTGTGATAGAATGGCATTCTGTCCAGGGTTGGTTCCTATCTTGTGCCTTGAGCTGTCAGGATAGGCTGTAGCCACCCAGACTCTGAACTGGCATAAGCTGGTTGAAAAATGAATGAATGAATACAAACTATTGTAAAATAAATATTCAGAAAGTATATGATAATCATACAAGTGGATGACAATAAAGGATGTTGTACAAAAGCACTCAGCAGACCCACCCTGATCATTATGGTTATTGAATTTCATGCTGGTAAGAGGTGCTCCTTACAATTTTTGTTTGGCAAACCTTTAGTCCTTGATTTAGCCCACCACCACCACTAAAACCATTGTAACTGACTGATTCACCAAAAATTGAGTAAATAATTATCTTGTATTTGTTAATCTTTCTTAAATGTATGTATAGCTCATATTTATTTACATGTCTAATATTAGAAGTGTTTTGGGTCTTTACTTGGAAATTTGGTAATGTTTTTCGATCAGATATATGCCAAAGGAACTTCTGTTTATATCAATTAGCCTATGGTAAAATTGGTTTTATTGTACATTGTTTTGCTTAAAGTCTCAGTTTTCAAGAGCCTATCAACTATACTGAGTACTTAATATATTGTATATTTCAAAATTGCTAAGAGAGTAGATTTAAATATTCTCACCACAGAGAATAAGTATGTGTGGTAATGAAAATGTTAATTGGTTTTAATTGAGATTCTATTCCAAGATGTCCGAATAGGAAAAGCTCTGGTCTGCAGCTCCCAGTAAGATCGACGCAGAAGATGGTGATTTCTGCATTTCCAACTGAGGTACCTGGTTCATCTCATTGGGACTGGTTGGATAGTGGGTGCAGCCCATGGAGGGCAAGCCAAAGCAGAGGGGGGCATTGCGTCACCTGGGAAGCACAGAGCAGGGCATCGCCTCACCCAGGAAGTGCAAGGGGTCAGGGGATTTCCCTTTCCTAGCAAAGGGAAGCTGTGACAGACTACTTGGAAAATCAGGACACTCCCGCCCAAATACTGTGCTTTTCCAATGGTCTTAGCAAATGGCACACCAGAAGATTATATCCCGCGCCTGGCTTAGCAGGTCCCGTGTCCATGGAACCTTGTTTACTGCTAGCACAGCAGTCTGAGATTGACCTGTGAGGCAGCAGCCTGGCAGGGGGAGGGGCATCCCTCATTGCGGAGGCTTGAGTAGGTAAACAAAGTGGCCAGGAAGCTCGAAGTGGGCAGAGTCCACTGCAGCTCTGCAAGGCCTGCTGCTTCTGTAGACGCCACCTATGGGGGGAGAGCATAACAGAACAAAAGGCAGCAAAAACTTCTGCAGACTTAAACATCCCTGTCTAACAGCTCTGAAGAGAGCAGTGGTTCTCCCAGCACAGTGTTTGAGCTCTGAGTACTAACAGACTGTCTCCTGAAGTGGGTCCCTGACCCCCATGTAGCCTAACTGGGAGACACCTCCCAGTAGGGGCCAACTGACACCTCATACAGGCGGGTGCCCCTTTGGGACCAAGCTTCCAGAGGAAGTATCAGGCAGCAATATTTGTTGTTCTGCAATATTTGCTGTTCTGCAGCCTCCACTAGTGATACCAGAAAATTTTTGCAATCTACCTATCTGACAAAGGGCTAATATCCAGAATCTACAAAGAACTTAAACAAATTTACAAGAAAAAAATAAACAACTCCATCAAAAAGTGGGCAAAGGATATGAACAGATGCTTCTCAAAAGAAGACATTTATGCAGCCAACAGACACATGAAAAAAAGGCTCATCATCACTGGTCATCAGAGAAACGCAAATCAAAACCACAATGAGATACCATCTCATACCAGTTAGAATGGCGATCATTAAAAGGTCAGGAAACAACAGATGTTGGAGAGGATGTCGAGAAATAGGAACACTTTTACACTGTTGGTGGGAGTGTAAACTAGTTCAACCACTGTGGAAGACAGTGTGGCGATTCCTCAAGGATCTAGAACTGGAAATATCATTTAACCCAGTGATCCCATTACTGGGTATATACCCAAAGGATTATAAATCATGCTGCTATAAAGACACATGCACATGTATGTTTATTGTGGCACTATTCACAGTAGCAAAAACTTGGAACCAACCCAAATGTCCATCAATGACAGACTGGATTAAGAAAATGTGGTACATATACACCACAGATTACTATGCAGCCATAAAAAAGGATGAGTTCATGTCCTTTGCAGGGACATAGATGAAGCTGGAAACCATCATTCTCAGCAAACTAACACAAGGACAGAAAACCAAACACCGCATGTTCTCACTCATAGGTGGGAATTGAACAATGAAAACACTTGGACACAGGGCAGGGAACATCACACACAGGGGCCAGTTGTGGGGTGGTGGGGGGCAGGGGGAGGGATAGCATTTAGGAGAAATACCTAATGTAAATGACTAGTTAATGGGTGCAGCAAACCAACATGGCACATGTATACCTATGTAACAAACCTGCATGTTGTGCACATGTACCCTAGAGCTTAAAATATAATAAAAAAAGAATCATATGGGAAGCATTGACAAATAATAAATCATGTTTAACCTTCAAAAAAATTAGTTTTAATCATTGCACATGTGTATATATATCATAACATTACATATGCCCTATAAATATATACATACTACACAATATATTTGCAATTATTAATTGAAAATATAAATATATATAATATGTTACTGCCAGATGAGCAGACAGATTAATGAAATGAAATTGAGAGTACAGAAATATATCCTTACATTGATGGTCAATTAATTTTTACAGGGTTACTGAGGAAATTCAATGCAGGAAATAATATTTATTTCAACACATTTTATGAGGCAACTAAATATTCATATGTTAAAAAAAAACCCTGAAATTAGACCCCTTTCTCACACCACACACAAAACTTAACTGAAAATGGAACATAGATCAACATAGAAGCTGAAAGTATAAAACTCTTAGAATAAAGCATAGTCGTAAATCTTTGTGACCTTGTTAGGCAATGGATTTTTAGGCATGATACCAAAAACACATATAACAAAAGTTAAAATAGATAAATTACATTTCATTAAAATTAAATTATTTGTGCTGAAAACTTATTACAAAGCAAAAAGATTTCCCACAGAACAGATGATAATATTTTCAAATCATATATCTGAGCAAGGATTATATCTGCAGGAAGAAATTTTACAAATCCACAACCAAAAGACAAATAACCCAACTTAAAAAATGGACAAAGGATTCAAAGAAACATTTCTTCAAAGAAGATATATGCAAATGTCTAATTACATAAAAATATGCTCAACATCATTAGTAATTAAGGAAATACAAATCAAAACCACAATGAGATACCACTGCATATTCATTAGGACAGCTAGAATCAAAAGTCCGATAATAGTAAGTGTTGATCAGGCTATGGAGACATTGGAACTATTATCCATTATCGGTAAGGATGTAAAACTATGCAGTCACTTTGGAAAAATTCAGTGTTAAAACTCTTCTTACAATATGATCCAGTTATTTCACTCCTAAATAAAGAGAAATAAAACCGTATGTCCACCCAAAAATTTATACATGAGTACTCATAGCAACATTACTCATAATAGCCAACATGTGTAAATAAACCAAATGTCCATCAACTGATGAATGAACAAATAAGATGTGGCATACTCATACAATAGAATATCATTAGGCAATAAAAAGAATGAAGTATTGATACATGTCACAACACGAATGAAATTTGAGAATATTTTCCATGTTAAAGAAGCCAGTCACAAAGGACTACATATTGTATGATTACACTTAAATGAAATGCCAAGAATAGTCGCATTCACAGAGACAGGAAGCATATTAGTGGTTTCCCAGGTCTGGGGACGGCAGGAATGGTAAGTGACTACTAATAGGTAAAGAGTTTCTTCCTGTGGTGATGAAAATGCTCTAAAATTCATCTTAGTGGCAGTTGTACAACTTTGTGAATACACTAAAAATGTTTGAATTTTACAGTTGAATTGGGTGAATTTTATGGTAAGAAAAATATCTCTATAAAGCTATCAACATTTTCTTGGATTTTGATAATGTTCAGTGAATCTACATACCAATTTGTGGAGAAATATCTGAACAATATGTGAATAATATTGAGTCTTCTGACCAATAAACACTATGTGTATATCTCCCTTCACTTAGTCTTCTTTAATTTAGCTCAGAATTTTTTAGGGCTTTCAATGTAGTTTTGTAAGATTTATCTCTAATATTTCATATTAGGATATGAAATATTGGGAAGCTATTGTAAATGGTGTTTTTTATTTCAATTGCTTGTTGTTAATGCATAGACACAACCGATTTTTCAATATGCACCTTACTAAACATTAACCCTGTTGAAGTCACTCATGATTGCATAATTGCTAGTATCTATTTCTAAATAGATTATTTAAGATTTTATACATAGATAAAATGTCATATGCAAATAAAGGCATTCATTCCTTTTTTTTCATATGGATATGAGTCATTTCTTTTTCTTGACTTATTTTCCAACTAGAACTTTCATTACAATATTGAACAGAGAGGAGCAGACACTTATTTTTTCCCAACTCAGGAGGAAAATATATAGTCTTCCATATTAAGTGTATTGGTACCCCCAGGTTTTTTGTAAATTCTCTTTATCATAGTGAATAAATTCTTTCTATTTCAAGTTTCATGAGAAATTTTATAATAAATGTATGTTGATTTTTTTCAAAGGCTTATTTGTATCCATTGAAATAATCATATACTTTCAGCTTTTTAATGTGATGAATTATGTTGATTGTCAAATGTTGAATCAACTTTGCATTTCTTTAATTCAATTTGCTCATAATGTATTATCTGTTTTATATATTATTTGTTTTGTTTCTTTTATGCTAAAGTCTTATTAAGAATTTTTGTGACTATATACATAAGAAATGTTGGTCTCTAGTCTTGTTTACCTGTAATATGGTTAATTGGTTTTGATATCAGAATAAAGTTGGCCTCATAAAATAAGTTAAGTGAGATGTTTTCTTTCTTCTTTTTTCTGGAAGAGTTTACTTCTTTCTTAAATGATTAGTATAATTCACCAGTATAGCCATGTGGGCCAAAGTTTCTGTTTTGCAATGTTTTAAATTACAAATTAAATCTCTTTAATAAATACAGGTGCATTCAGGTTTCCTTTTCACTCTGTTGTGATCTTTGGTATTTGTGTCTTTTACAAATTTTGTCCAATTAATCTAAGTTGTTAACTTTACTGGAAAAAAATTGGCATATATAATACTTCACAATTATCCTTTTAATATGTAAAAGACATAGAAGAATGTAACTTCCCTCATTTTTGTTATTGAAATGTCTTCTCTCTTGTTTATTTCCTAATCAGTGTTACTAAATTTTTTTCTCTTCAATTTTATTTACGTTTTCAAAGAACAAACTTTTAGTTTCATTGATCTTTTTAAATTATCTTTCTGATTATAATTTAATTAATTTGTGCTCTTTGTGATTTACTTTCTTCTGCTTACTTTGCATTTACCTTACTTTTATATTCTATTTTTAAAAGATGGATCCATAGGCTACTGCTATGAGACTTTTCTAATACCGTATAAGTGTTTATTAGATTTCTAATGCTGTATAATAAATTACCAGAAAACACAGCAACTTGAAAACAATAAACATTTATCATCTGATGGTGTCTGTGGGTCAGGAATGCAGTATTATTTCCTAAAATAGCTGGGCCCGTATTGAGATCTTAGTTTAAGGCTACTCAAAGAAGACATATTTCTAAATAAGATCTCTCACATAGTTGTTGGCAGGCTTTAACTTTTTGATGCCTGTTGGCTAGAGACTTCAGAAAGCTGCTGACTTTCCCCAGAACAAGTGATCTGAAAGTGAGAAAGTTCCATGCCAGATAGAAGCTGCAGTCTTCTTGTAATCTAATCTCAGACATGACTTAGCATAATTTCTGCCATACGCTATTTGCTAAATCCACCCCACAATCAACAGCAAGGGAAGAAAAGTCTTCCTTTTAAAGGGAGGATGAAGTATAAAACAATTCATCCTCTAGCCAAAAATCTTAATTTCCTCCCTCTTAAAAAATACATTTCTCTCCCCTCAAGATCCACAGATGTTGTATTCTACTGTAGAATCTGCTTTAAGTTCAGAATCTTGTCACTTAAATCAGGACCAGTTGTGAATGTCACCCCTTTGCTGTACTTTCTAAAGTTTAGCTCCTAGAGTACAGTTGCTCTCAATCTGTAGACCTGTGGAACTAAAATAAAAAATTATCTGGTTTATACAAACCCAATAGACAATGGTGGGGCAGACATAGAAAAACCGCTATAGCCTTGATGTTCAAAAAGGGAAAATACAGGAGGTGAAAAGAATTCACTAGCATAAGGAAGCCCAAAGGAATTCTGTAATCTAGCCAGGCAAAAGTTGAAAGTTCTGTGGTTAGGTTTCAAATGCTGGGAATGATTTACTAAGGCTCTCAGCTCTGTCCTTTGAGTTGTTGGTTCTACCTCCTGCGTCATCTTTCCTTTATCATTAAAAGGTAGATCTGTTCATATTTGAGCCCTGTACCCGCCAGTAGAATTGGGGAGGGAGCCAGTTCTCTTTTTATTTAAGCTCATTTTTCAATGTCTCTAAGGCCTTTCAGTCCAACTAGTGATGTTTCTGCGTAAATAATCTTTTCAAAATCTTTCTAGATCATCTTTGACATACTAAAACCCACTTCATTAGACAAAAGCCATACACGTAAATTTCTTTAAAATAAGCACTTTTCTATTTGCTTATTTGAGTGATACATTTGGGTCTGTGTCCCTGCCCAAGTCTCATGTCATTGTGATTCCCAAGGTTCGAAGTGGGGCCTGGTGGGACGTGACTAGATCAAGCGTGCAGAATTCCCCTTTGGTGCAGTTCTCACGAATGTGTGTGAGTTATCCTGAGATCTGGTGGTTTAAAAGTGTGTAGCGCATCCCCCTCTCTCTCTCCCTCCTGCTCCGGCCACGTAAGGTGTGCCTGCTTCCCCTTTGCCTTGCGCCATGACTGTACTCTTCTTGAGGTCTCCCCCAAAGCTGAGCAGATGCCAAAATCATGCTTCCTGTACAGCCTGCTGAACTGTGAGCCAATTAGACCTCTTTTCTATAAATTACCCAGTTTGAGGTATTTCTTTATAGCAGTGTGAGAAGAGACTAACACATTGAGTTTCTGATGAAAAGGCTGAGGGAAAACACCTTTAAGCTTCCTAAAAGACCTGTTGAGAAGATGTGTGAAGCACACCTTTGTTCTCTCTAAATAGCATATTATTGGACTGAATAGCACCTTGGTACACTTCCTCTAGTCTTCCTGAGACATTAACAAAAGATTTTACAATCACACACTTGGCTTAGGTGTTGGTGCAGTAGTTTTTATCTGTTCTCAGAAATCATTGCTTAATTTTAGCGTATGTTACCTACAGAGACAGAATTCTTAAAACCATCATCTCCTTCATGTTCAACAGTACTTTCTTATCTCTCTCTTACTGTATTTTATATTAAGCAGAAAGAAGAAACCAGATAGTTTATCATATTTTGTTACAGCAATCTGAATAAATTAAGACAGAAAACTAGTACCAAGAAGTGGAAATATTGTAACAAATATGTAAACATGTGGAAGCAGCTTTTGAAACTGGGTAATAGGTAAAAACTGGAAGAGTTTTTAGGTGCAGGCTAAAAAAAATAAGCCTACATTGCTGTGAATAGACAACTGAGGGTGATTCTGGAGACGGCTCAAAGGATAGGCTGAGAGCTATAGAGAAAGCTTCAGTTTTCATAGATAACATCTAAGTGGGCATGAATAGAATGTTGGTGTAAATGTGAATGCTAACAGCCATTCCAATGAGATCTGAGGTGGAAATAAAGAACATGCTATTGGACAATGGAGGAAATGCCATTATTGTTATGAAGTAAAAAGAAATTGTCTGAATTGTATTTTTTTCTAATGTTTTGTAGAAGATACAACTTGTAAATAACCAATATTTGGCTGAAAAGATTTTGAACAATATATTGAAGCATTAGCCTGCTTCCTCTTTCCTGCTTATAGTAAAATGCCAGAAGAGAGAAGTGATTGAAAGATAAAAGGTTTTCATCAAAAGAAGTAAAAAATTTAGAAAATTTTCATCCTATCTATAATGGAAAAAATGATACAAATTTTTTGAGAGAGAGAACAAAATTGTGGCCAAGTGATCATTTCATAAGGAGATTAGTATTGATTGGCTAGCCTAAAGGAAGCTAGGTATCATTTATCAAGATCATGGTGAGATTAGCCAGCCATCTAAACATCGTCTTCATCTAAGCAATGAAAGAATAACCGTATATTGATAATTCTCAGGATGCTGTCTCACCACAGGCTCCGAGTGTCAGAGCTTGTGGGGCGGAACAATATCAAAGGAGAGGACTTGCTGTCCAGCACCATCTCACATTTTGGGCTCTATTTTATAGACTCTGTCACCATGCTTCTCGGCAGCCCTAGGAGCAGCAGTGTAGCACGCACTGTGCTGAATCCCTCTGTGGGGTTGTGGCTGCCTCCACTTTGATTTCAAGTGATGTCCTGGTGAGCCACGGGATCCAGGCAGAGAACTGCCATGAGGGTGATACCACCACAGAGTCGCTACTCAGGCAAGGCGCAGGAGAGTTGTAGAGGGTGGGGCTGCTCCAACAAAACAAGATCTGCAGAGCCACGGGTACATGATTCCAGCCCAGGAGAGCTCCAGATATGTAATCCAAGCACAGAGCAGTCATGGAGGTGGGACCCCTGCAGTGAACTGCCGTAGGGGCAGGACCCAGGCACAGAGCCACCATGGGATGGGGCTCTCCAATGTCATGGGGGAAGGGCTGCCACCCAACTACGTCTGAAAGGTAGGGCTCCTACCCAAGTAGGACTAGAGGAGAGAATATCAAACCGAAGACGATAATCCTAAGCCTTGAGGTTCTAGACTTGAGACTTGTTATTCATTTTTTGTCCAGTTTCTTGCTTTCCTTATGTTGATGCATTTAAAAAAAATGGCAAAAATGGCAAATACTTTTGCACCAACCTAATAGGAATGTATGTCCTATGCCTGTCCCGTCATTGTATTTTGGAAGCACACAACCTGCTTGATTTCAGAGGCTCACAGCTGAGGGAGAATTTTACTCAGAATGAATTACATGTTGAGTTTCACCAATACCTGATTTTGATGATGTTTAGATGAGACTTTAGGCTTTGGTTGATATTGGCACTAGTTGTTTGGGCTAGTGCGATGGAATAAATATATTTTCCGTGCAAGAAGAACATTAATTTGGGGGGCCCAAAGTCACAATGAGAGGTGACAGCCTGCTGGCAGCCCTCGCTCGCTCTCAGCGCCTCCTCGGCCTCGGTGCCCACTCTGGCCGTGCCTGAGGAGCCCTTCACCCGGGGCTGCACTGTGGGAGCACCTCTCTGTGCTGGCCGAGGCCAGAGCCGGCTCCCTCTGCTTGCTGGGAGGTGTGGAGGGAGAGGTGTGGGCAGGAACCGGGGCTGCGCCATGGTGCTCGTGGGCCACCGCGAGTTCCGGGTGGGCGTGGGCTAGGTGGGTCCCGCACTTGGAGCAGCCGGCGGCGCCACCGGCCCCGGCAGTGAAGGGCTTAGCACCCCGGCCAGCAGCTGCAGAGGGTGCCCGGGTCCCCCAGCACTGCTGGCCTGCCCACGCTATGCTTGAATTCTCACCCAGCCTCAGCCACCTTCCCAAGGCTCAGGACCTGCAGCCCACCATGCCGAAGCCCCCCCGCGGATCCCCAGCCTCCCCGACAGGCGCTGTCCCCTGCTCCGCAGCGCTGGTTCCTATCTACCGCCCAAGGGCTGAGGAGTGCAGGCGTGCCCCGCTGGCAGCCCCAGCAAGGGATCCACTAGGCAAAACCAGCTGGGCTCCTGAGTCAAGTGGGGACTTGGAGAACTTTTATGTCTGGCTGGAGGATTGTGTATGCGCCAGCAGCACTCTGTGTCTAGCTCAGGGTTTGTGGATGCACCAATCAGCACCCTGCATCTAGCTAATCTGGTGGGGACTTGGAGAACTTTTATGTCTAGCTGGAGGATTGTGTATGCGCCAATCAGCACTCTGTGTCTAGCTCAGGGTTTATGGATGCACCAATCAGCACTCTGTATCTAGCTAATCTGGTGGGGACTTGGAGAACTTTTATGTCTAGCTACAGGATTGTAAATGCACCAATCAGCACTCTGTGTCTAGCTCAAGGTTTGTAAATGCACCAATCAGCACTCTGTGTCTAACTCAAGGTTTGTAAATGCACCAATCAGCACTGCGTATCTAGCTCATCTGGGGAGGACTTAAAGAACGTTTCTGTCTAGCTAGAGGATTGTAAACGCACCAATCAGCGCTCTGTGTCTAGCTCAGGGATTGTAAACACACCAATCAGCACTCTGTCAAAACAGACCAATCAGCTCTCTGTAAAACAGACCATTCAGCTCTCTGTAAAATGGACCAATCAGCAGGATGTGGGTGGGGCCAGATAAGGGAATAAAAGCAGGCTGCCCAAGGCAGCAGTGGTAACCTGCTGGGGTCCCCTTTCACACTGTGGAAGGTTTGTTCGTTAGCTTTTTGCAATAAATCTTGCTGCTGCTCACTCTTTGTGTCTGCACTGCCTTTATGAGCTGTAACACTCACCGTGAAGGTCTGCAGCTTCACTCCTGAAGCTAGTGAGACCATGAACCCACTGGGCAGAATGAACAACTCAGGAGGGGAGAAACGAACAACTCCAGATGCACCGCCTTAACAGCTGTAACACTCACCGCGAAAGTCTGCAGCTTCACTCCTGAAGCCGGCGAGACCAGGAATCTCCACCAGAAGGAAGAAACTCCAAACACATCTGAACATCAGAAGGAACAAACTCCAGACATGTTGCCTTTAAGAACTGTAACACTCACGCGAGGGTCCGCGGCTTCATTCTTGAAGTCAGTGAAACCAAGAACCCACCAATTCCGAACACAGTAATGCTAAGATCTGAATATTTGTGTTCCTCCAAAACTCATATGGTGAAATTATAATGCACAGAGTGGTATTATTAGGAAGTGAGGCTTTGGGGAAGTGGTTAGGTCATGAAAGTGGAGCTCTCATGAATGGAATTGGTGACTTTATAAGCGATTCCAACTGCTTTGCCCCTTCCATCATGTGGGATTGGGACAAGAAGGTACCATCAATGACCCAGAAAGCAGGCTTTTACCAGACACCAAATCTGCTTTGATTTTCGATTTCTCAGACACTAAAACTGTGAGAAATGAATTTCTGTTCTATATAAGCTGCCATATTTAAAGGATTTTTATAACAGCAGCATGAACAGACTAAGACCATCACCCTGGTTCTTGCAAATTCTCCAGGAACATGTGTACAGCTGACTATCACAGGGCTGAGGATGTGTGGATTGGTAGCTGCTTTTGTGCCAAAGACTGAAACTGACAGAAATTAACAGCAATATCCTGTCCAAGCCTTCCCTTGGAAGTTTCAAACCTTTGGTAGACTCCAGAGTTCCAACATAGTTAAATCAGACAGATTCTGACAGTGCAATTGTTGTCCGGGTGAGTGGACAGATTCCTAGTGCTTCTTACTCTGCCATCTTCTCAGAATCTTCTCTCATATGTCTTTAAGTTCTATCAGTTTTTGCTTAATCTGTTTTTAAACTCAGATTTTAGGTGTACGATCATTTAGAATTATTATGTCAACTTGGTAAATTGACCCCCTTAATTATCCTGAAATAATTCTCTTTATTTTAACAATATTTCTTGCTGTGAAATACAGTTTTTCTGATATTAACGTAGTCATTCCAGCTTTCTTCTATTAGTTTTAGCATGGAATATCTACCTTCTTTTTACTTTCTATGTATCTATCTATTAATGTGAGATCTTCTGTACACTTCATATGTGGGTTTTGTTTTTTTATTTAATCTTAAAATATCTTTTAAAAATTAGAATGTTTAGACTATTTACATTTAATGTGATTATTGATATGTTTGGACTTAAATCTACCAGATTGTTTAAATCTATCTCATCCATTTTTTGTTTCCTTTTGTCCCTTTTTTACCTTTTTAAAAATTAATTGCATATTTTATGATCGTGTTTTGTCTCCTTTGTTGAAATTTTAGCTATACCTCTGTGATTTTTTTTCTATTCATGGTTGTCTTAGGGTTAATTTTATTAAAGTCTAACTTCAAGTAATATTATACTTCTTTACACATAAGAACCTTACAACAGTATACTTCCACTGCATAGCTCTAGGCTTTCATACTGATAATTTTCGTATTTTACTTCTACATTTGCTATAAATAGCATGATATATTATTTATTTTCTTTAGATACTAAATTATATTTAACAGAGATTTTTCAAAGTAAGAAAATAAGTCTTTTTTTAATATATAATTTTCACTGGTGATGTTTTGAATTCCTTTGTGTAGGTCTAGCCTTTTGACCTTGGTATCATTTTACTTCTTCCCCCAAAATATCCTATTTACTTTCCTTTAATTTCTTAGGAAAGTTTTATGTTTATATATATAATATATATTAATATATAATAATGTGCACCCTTCTGTTCCAGATTGTGATATAATATAAAATATGTTTGATCTGTGTCCCCAGTTGCTGGCACAGAGCTCCTAAAATCCTTGAAATTTCCTGAGTAATAGGAATGTCTTTGGTTGTTCATAACAAGACCCTTTCATCATACCTGAGTTTGTGCTAATGAGGTAATCAGGATGATGCCCCTAAATAGCCTCATGTTTAGGCTGGCCACCAGAAAGCCCACGTGATTAGAGGGTTGAAATTAGCAGCCCCACCCGATGACCTCTGGGGAAGGAGATTGAAGCTAGAGATTGAGCTCTATAAAGTTTTGAACAAAGAGCTTCAGTGAGATTCTGAATTGGTGAACATAGCCTTGTACCAGGAGAGTGGCATACCCCACTCCACAGGGACAGAAACTACTGCACGTGGGACCCTTGTTAACCTTACCCTATGTACCACTTCATCTGACTGTTCATTCATATCCTTTATATCAAACTAGTAAATGGTAAGTGGTTTCCTGATTTCTATGAGCCATCCTATCAAATTATTGGACATGAGGAGGGAGTAGTTAGAATGCCTGTTTTGTTGTTGTTGTTGTTGTTTTGTTGTTGTTGTTGTTTTTGAGATGGAGTCTCACTCTGTTGCCCAGGCTGGAGTGCAGTGGCTGCGATCTCGGCTCACTGCAACCTCCGCCTCCCGGATTCAAGCAATTCAGTTTTCCTGCCTCGGCCTCCCAAGTAGTTGGGACTACAGTTACGCACCACCATGGCCAGTTAATTTTCGGATTTTTAGTAGAGACAAGGTTTCACCATGTTGGTCAGCCTGGTCTTGAACTCCTGACTTCAAGTGATCTGCCTGCCTTGGCCTCCCGAAGTGCTGGTATTATAGGCATGAGCCACCACGCCCAGCAAGAATGCCTGCTTTATAGCTGTTTGATCAGAAGTATGGGTGACCTGATACATATGACTGTCATCTGACCTGAGGGCAATCTTGTGTGGCTGAACCCTTAATCTTGTGGAGTCTGACTCTGACTGTCAGTGGTTAGTGTCAGAATTCAATTGAATTGTTGGACACCCAGTTGGTATGTGCAGAGAAGCAGAGACTTGGTTGGTGTCTGAAAATACCTCAGACAGATATAGGTAATTATAAATAATTTGTGTTTTTTCTGGTCAGTCCTGACTAGATATTATTAATTTTAACTTTTTAAGTATTTTGTATTGCTTATTGGGTTTTAATTTAATTTATTTCATTTCATGGATTAGTATCACCCCATTTTCAACTGGCTCAGTAATACTCAAACCCAAGAACACACATTAGAAACTATGTGGGCCTGAGACAATGGGATTACATTCTCAAAGAGTTGAAAGAAAATAAATCATCAACCTATCACAATTTCAAATAACAGATAAATAAGAGAATTTGTCAAACATGAACCACAGAGAATGTTTAGTAAAGTTTTTCAAGTTGAAGAAAAATGATTCCAAATAGAAACTCAGATATTCAGGAAGAAATGAAGAACACTAGCAATGGTAAATATTTATAAACAGAAGATTTTTCTTCTTTATTTAAAATTTGTATGACTAAAAATTTCAACTTTGTTGTATAGTTTATAACTTATGTAAATATGATCTATGTGACAGGTGCAAAGGATTGGCAGGGTGGAATAAATAGTCCTATAGAGTACCAGGGTTTCTACATTTTATGGGAAGTGGTACAACACTACACAAAATAGACTATAAAAAAGTTAAAAATGCATACTTAACCTACAGAGCAACTGCAAAAAAGATATTCAGATGTCTAAGTAAAAAGCCAGTAGATAAATTGAACCAGAACACTAATTATTAATAAAAAGTAATATAGGAAAGGATGAATTGGTGGGGAAGACAGAGGAGATGAACACAAGCAAATAAAATGGTAGAGCTAATTCCAAGTACATCATTAATTTCATTAAATAGTATTAGGTAAAACAATCTAATCAGAAGGCAGAAGTTATCGTCATTGATAAGAAACAAAACCTATGTCCTGTCCACATAAGACAATTTTAGATAAAATAGACTTTAAGACAGAGTACTACCAAGATAGGAAATAACATTTTATAACTATAAGAGTTATTTAATCAGGAAGACAATGATCAGAAATGTATATATGCCTAATAACAGCCTCAAATTACATGAATCATAAGTTAACGGAATTAAAGTACATAATTCTGCAATCATAACCGGAGATTTTAAAACTCTTATCAATTGATAGGATGAGAGGCAAAAATTGTAAAAACCTAGAAGAACTGAACAGCACTGGCAACCATTATATTTAGACAAAATACATAACAGTGTAATAAACACATACATACGTAACAGTGTAATAACTTCAGAATATAATTTTTTTTTCAAGTGAACATGCTATGTTTATCAAGATTGGTCATATTCTGAGTCATGATACAGGTGCCCATAATGTTTTGTTTTGTTTTGTTTTGTTTGTTTTGTTTTGTTTTGTTTCGAGACGGAGTCTCGCTCGGTCGCCCAGGCTGGAGTGCAGTGGCGCGATCTCGGCTCACTGCAAGCTCCGCCTCCCGGGTTCATGCCATTCTCCTGCCACAGCCGCCCGAGTAGCTGGGACTGCAGGCGCCCGCCACCATGCCCGGCTAATTTTTTGTATTTTTTAGTAGAGACGGTGTTTCACGTGTTAGCCAGAATGGACTCGATCTCCTGCCCTAGTGATCCACCCACCTTGGCCTCCCAAAGTGCTGGGATTACAGGCGTGAGCCACCGCGCCCGGCCCATAAATTTTAATAAACCATTAGCATACAGACTCTGTTCTACTTAGTAATAGAATTAACTGAAGCATTAATAACAGTAATATTCTGTCTAGGAAATCCCCATCAGGAGTTGAATGGCACACATCTAAATAATCTATGGACAAACTATTAAATCATAGAGCAAATTTTAAAATATTTCAAACTGAATGATAATTCAATTAGAACACATCAAAATTTGGGGGATACTAAGAGAGTTATTAGAGGAAAGTTTATTAGTTTTTCATGACCATATGTTGATTTTATGATTATAAAAAAGGTAGAAAACCAATGACCTAAATTTATACCTAAGAAACTAGAAAAGTAGGGCAAAGTAATAACAAAGTAAGGAATGCTGTAATAAAGACCAGAAAGTAACAAAATAAAAGAAGAAAACAATATAAAATATTAACAAATTCTGTCTCCCTTTTTGTGCCTACAGCTCAAATCTACTCTAACTTCCTCCAGTCTTTCACTTACTTTCCCTTTGGCTGCTTAGAGATTCAACCCCCGTGGGTACATTTTATAAATCAGCCTAGGATTTCAAGATGGTTTTATATAAAGTCACATTCTGCAACTGCCTGTTCTGTGGTATTTTCCAGCCATAGGAGCACCCCTGTGCTTCAACTTCTGACTCCTTAGGTCCACAGGCTCTCTGCTTGAACTTTCCCTACCAGTACATTTTGTTGACTGAATAGTATCCTCAGAGCAAAGCTATGTAAAGGGGAAAATCTAGCTCTGGTTCTCTTCCTTTAAGTGTGTAATTGCTGTAATATCTCCCTGGTCGTCATTGTTCTTCTATGCCTCAAAACAGCTTTCCAAAGTTTGTCACTCTTTTTGGAAGGAGTGTTATTCTGATTTAGATTCTTTTCCATTGCCAGTTACTGGAAGTCTCCTACATAATTCTGATGTTCAGTCAATCCAACATTGTAGGTAAATGCTTCTTAAATTTTAATACCATGATGGATCATCTGAAAATCATGCTAAAATGAAGTTTCTGATTCAATAGGCTTTGAGTGAGACCTACGATTCTTTATCTTTAATAATTTCCTGTGTGATATGGATGCTTCTGTCCACAACTGACACTTTCAGTAGTGAGCCCTCAACTATTAACATAGTGAAGTAGTGGCAATACATTTCACAGTGTGATATAACAGAATTTTAGAATTGGAAACAATTAGGGTTAACACACTGTTGTTAATGAAGAAGTGTTGGTTGCAATTGTAAATTATTATTTTCCAGGTGCCAAACAAGTGTCAGTATTGATAAAACCTATCACTACCTTGTTAATGCTAATGGATTAAACAGCACCATGAGTCTGATTATCTGTTAGCCAATTAAGATAAGCATTGAACTTGTCTTTACAGCATATTTATTGTGATTGAAAATATGCTATTTCTATTTCAAATGCTGGCCAATATATCAAGTATACAATTTTGGCCTGGGCAGATTACAAAAACAACCACTGAAAACATATTTTACAATGGATAGTTGCAAATTTTTCATCATTGAAAAAATGTATCTTAATGGGTAATAATAATGTGATTTCTTCTAAGGATAAAAAAGAAAGTTATCTCCTCTACTCTTATATTAATCCATTTCCAGTCACAACCAAAGGCAGTCTCCTTCAGGTGGCCCCTTCTGTGGCTCACCAAACCAAGTCATTAAACTGAACAGATTTTATCTTGTAAATAATACATGTCTTAGTCCATTTTGCATTGCTATAATAGAGAAGCTGAGCCTGGGTACTTTATAAAGAAGAGAGATTTATTTATTACAGACCTGAAGACTGGGAGGCCCAAGGTCATGGGCCCATATCTGGCATAGGCCTTCTTGCTGCATTACCCCATGGCAGGTGGTAGAAAGGCAAGAGAGCACACCCATGAAAGAGAGAGAGGGAAGGAGTGGGGTGGTGGGGCGGGGGACGGGGGGAGGAGAGAGAGAGACTGAACTCACAGTCTCAAGCCTTTTTATAATTGGCATTAATCCATTCATGAGGGTAGAGCTCTTGTTACCTAAATACCTCCCAGTAGGCCTCTCAACACTGTTGCGCTGGGGATTCAGTTTTCAACACATGCTTTTCTAGGGACACATTCAAACCATAACAACATCCTAATCCAATTCTGATCACTCTCCTTCCTTGCTGTCATTGCCTTAAGCTTAAATATTGAATACTTCTACTGAAAGAATTGAATTCCTTTCTCTTCATGTCTATTTCCAACTAATGTACTTAACCACTTCTTTAAAACATCTACAGCACAAAGTTCAAGCTACTCAATGTGACAAAGGCGGCACTCTGTGAACTGATCTCTGCCTATCACTATAGTTTATTTACCCATGAGTTCTTTCTACTAAATATTCCAGTGACAATAAACTGCTCACCTTACTCATGCTGGCCATGCTACTTCTCCTTTTCATTTATTTACTCTACCTGGAATAATTTTTTTTTCCCATATCCACACTACAACCATCCATCTCCTTCCTCTGGCTAAGTGTTAGCTCTCTTTTAGACTTAACTCAGTTGTCGTCTCCTCCAGGAAGCCAAACATGATGCTTGCTGCCAATTTCCTAATGTATACATAATGCCCAGTGGTTATTTCTGACACCAGCATATCATATACCAATAAATTATTTTTCTTTCTACCTCTTTCTTAAGAGTATAACTTTTAAGTTAGTCTTGATGTCTTCTTCATTTTTATATGCTGTGTGCACAGCATAATGCCTGGAACTAAGTTAGAGTTCAGTAATGCCTGATAAATACATTCGTAAGTGAGTTATTTTCTTAATCATCTGGACAACTAGTAACAGAGTTCCTCTGGCTTTAAGAAACTACCTTGCTCAACTGCATTGGCTACAAGAAATAAAGTGTAAAGAACGTGGTCTAGAAAGCAAGAAATATGTAATTAAACCCCTTTTCCAAGATAAGTAATAAGAATTCAGGGGTATGGTAAGCGGGAGAAGAAAGAGAAGCAAGGAGAAGAAAGAGAAGCAAGAGAAGAGGGAATAACATGATCAGAGGCTACAGTCTGGATCCTGGGGAAGACAGGCCATCAGAAGGAACTCCCAGTGGGTTGACAGGGGATGTTTTTATAAGCGGACATGCCAGATCCCCAGTTTTAAGGGTTTGTTTGATAGACAATGTAAACTCACTATTGTAATTCTCTATACTCCTAACTTTTTAGAAAATACTGAATGTATTTATACAGACTTTTCAGGAGGTATGAGGAAATATTAAGCTGAAGCAGTAAAGTAATATATACACTGCCTTTTATTTACCCCTTCCCAGACACTGATATTAAGGGAGCACCATTATATTAAGGAAAGTTGTAACCCAAAACCATCAAGTGGTGATTAGCTTGGAAGATATTGAGTGTGCCAAGGATCTAGAAATGACAAGGAAGTGCAACAGTGATGACCCCACAAAAGTTTTGGCAAAAATCTCCATAACCAAATATATTGGAAGGATTTTATCCTTTAAGGGTGGGCACTCTTCGTGGGTATTCTACCTGTGTCTTCTGCATGTGCTTGATTTTTCTCTTCCCTTCTCACTGCAACTTAGAATTTTCTCCTGTTTCCTCCTTTTCTCCTTCTACTCACACCTCACATATCTTCTTGCACAAAGGTGGGTCCATGATGGGATCTCTGCTAGCAGGACTGGAAGAGGGCATGGGGAATGAGAAGTAAAAGATGGTCTAACAATGTGATTATTTTTTCATCTCCTGCAGTAATGGCCTGCATACACACACACACACACACACAGCCACTTAAACAAGGGAACACTATTCTATTGTATCTTGATCCTAATCTCACTTCTCTTATTTTTTCATTGCCTTCCAGAGTCTACCTTACTTTCACTTTTAAACTACCTACTCTTGTTTGCTGCATGCAATGAAATGCTCAGAAAGGTTGGTCACTAATATTACATTCAAATCCAATTGAATCTTCTTCCATCAGCCTTTGGTGTACAGAGAAATTCAGCATGGGTGTGCACAATAGTCTTGTCCTTCATACATGCATATTCTAAACAGTAAAAATATATGAGAAAGCTCAGTTTTCATATATATTTCTACCTTGTTACTATTAGCAAAATCACTTTTAAAAATTTTAAATGTCTCTGTGATAGCTTCAGCCACAGAAGCTTGAATGGTAAAGGAGTCACTCTATTCTTCTGTGAAGGGAACTTGGCTATGTTATAAAGACAAGCAAGAATGGTCACAAGAGACAGAAGGCAGATATCTGAGAACAAAGAAGTTTCATAAGATCTCTCACACCTGTGCAGTTTCTGAGCTTTATGAGCTTCTACCACTGAAATTCTTCAGCTTTCATTCTTGTCATCCTAGTTAGGTTTCTCTTCATTCCAAGTTCGTTGATTAAACAATACTTATTTTGCACCTCTCTGTACTGTTGTGGGAACTGTGAGAACCATTGTGAACAGACTATAGTTTTGCCCTAAAATGTTTAGTATACTAGAAGAGAGAGATCAGTAAATAAACAATTAAATATGATGTCATAAGCACCGCCATTGGGCTAAGCACAAAGGTTCTTGCCCTTCCCCTCCCCCTCCAGTAATAAGTGAGGCATTTATAAATAAAAGCCAGACCTAAGGGAACTTGTATCACAAAGCACCCAACAAAGCTTTCCAGAGAGAATTGTTGATATTCATTCTGTACATTTTTTGGAGTCATAAACACAACTGATAATTTATTCTTGGTGGGCTCCTCTAATACTCTAACCCACCAAAAAGATGCTTAGGAATAGAGGGTGAGTCATTTTATCTGCACTGTGGAGGAGATGTGCTCCTGCCATCTAAAATGGAACTCAGACTTTTTCACAGAAAATTTTTTTCCATATAAACTTTATTTCTATACACTTATTTCAGATAAATAAAAGGTTAAAGATGATTTTGAATATTGGTTTTGAAACTGAAACATCACTTGATATAAAGAAAAGATGTTCCAAGCTCCAAGCAAATGCTTTACAACGTACTTATTATATCAACTTGTTATTAATTCAGATACTCACACGTATCTCAATTTTACATATTGAGAAAATGAACAATGAGAATTACCAAATATAGTAGACATCTTTTATATTCTTTTTCAAATTTTATTTTAGATTCAGGGGGCACATGAACAGTTTTGTTATGAGGGTATATTGCATGATGCTGAGGTTTGAGGTATGGAATCCATTGCACACAGGTTGTGAGCATAGTACACAATAGGTAGTTTCTCAACCCTTGGTCCCTTCCATCCTTCTCGCCTCTGGTATTCATTAGTGTTTATCGTTTCCACCTTTATGTCCATGTGTACCCAATGTTTAGCTACCACTTATAAGAACATGTGGTATTTGGTTTTCTGTTTCCACATTAATTCACTTGGGATAATGGCCTCCAGCTGCATCCATTTTGCTGCAACGGACATGATTTTGTTCTTTTTCTATGGCTATATTCTATGGTGTATATACCACATTTTCTTTATGCAAGACATTGTTGATAGGCACTTAAGGTGATTCCATGTATTTGCTATCGTGAATAGTGCTGAAATGAACATACAGATATTTTTGTCTTTCTAGTAGAACAATTTCTTTTTCTTTGGGTATATACCCAGTAATGGGATTGCTGGGTTGAATAGTAGTTCCATTTTTGGGTTTTTGAGAAATCTCCAAACTGCTTTTCATAGTGACTGAACTGATTTACCTTCTCACCAACATTGTAGAAGCATTCCTTTTCCTCTGCAGCCTTGCCAACATCTGTTATTTTTCGACATTTTTATAATAGACATTCTGACTGGTGTGAAATGGTATGTCATTGTGGTTCTGATTTACATTTCTATGATGATGAGTGATGATAAGCATTTTTTATATGTTTGTTTGCTGCTTGTATATCTTCTTTCAAGAAGTGTCTGTTGGTGTCCTTGGTCTACATTTAATGGGCTTGTTTTCTTGCTTTTTGATTGTTTTGTGTTCCTTATAGAGTCTGGATATTAGGCCTTTGTGACACACATGGTTTGTGAGAATTTTCTCCCATTTTGTAAGATGTTTGTTTTCTCTGTTGACAGCTTCTTTTGATGTGCAGGAGCTCTTTAGTTTAATTATATCCCACTGCCAATTTTTGTTTTTGTTTCAGTTGCTTTTGAGGACTTAGCCATATATTTTTGGCCAAGGCCAATATCCAGAATGGTATTTCCTAAGTTTTGTTCTAGGATTTTTATATTTTGAGGCCTTATGTTTAAGTCTTTAATCCATCTTGAGTTAATTTTTGTACATGGTGATAGATAGGGTTTCAGTTTTATTCTTCTGCATATGAATAGCCAATTATCTTGGCACTATTTATTGAACAGGGAGTAATTTCCCCTTTGCCTACTTTTGTCAATTGTGTCAAAGATCCGATGGCTGTGGGTATGTGGCTTTATTTCTGGATTCTTTACTCTGTTCCATTGGTATACGTGTCTGTTTTTATACCAATACCATGCTGTTTTGGTTACTACAGCTTTGTAGCAGAATTTGAAGTTGAGTAATGTGATGCCTCTGCCTTTGTTATTTTTGCTTAGGATTAATTTGGTTATTCAGGCTCATCTTTGTTTTCATATAAATTTTAGAACAGTTTTTTTTCTAATTCTGTAAAAGCAGACACTGGTAGTTTGATAGGAATAGCATTGAATCTGTAATTGGCTTTGGCCAGTATGGACATTTTAATGATATTGATTATTCCAGTCCATGAGCATGGAATGTTTTTCCATTTATTTGTCATTTATGATTTCTTTGAGTAGTGTTTTGTAGTTCTTCTTGTAGAAATCTTTCACCTTCCTGGTGAGATGTATTCCAAGGTATTCTATTATTTTTCGTGTGGCTATTGTAAATGGGATTGCATATTTTATTTGGCTCTCAGCTTGAATATTATTGGCTATAGAAGTAGTACTGATTTTTGTAAATTGATTTTGTAGCCTGAAACATTACTGATGTAGCTTATCATTTCCAAGAGCCTTTTGGCAGAGTCTTTAGATTTTTTCTAGGTATAGAATCATATTGTGAGTGAAAAGAGATAGATTTCTGGTTTTCCTATTTGAATGTCTTTTATTTATTTCTCTTGCCTGAATGGTCTGGCTAGGACTTCCAGTACTATGTTAAATACCAGTGGTAAGATTGGGCATTCTTGTCTTGTTCCAGTTATCAAGGGGAATTGTTCCAACTTCTGCTCATTCTGTGTGATGTTGGCTGTGGGTTTGTCATAGATGACCTTATTATTTTGATGTAACTTTGATGCCTAGTTTGTTGAGCTTTTTCTTTTATCATGTTGGATTTTATTGAAAGCTTTTTCTGTGTCTGTTGAGATGATCATGTGGGTTTTGTTTTTGATTATTTTTATGTGGTGAATCACATTTATTGATTTGCATATGTTGAGCCAACCTTTAATCTCAAGAATAAAGCTTACTTGATTGTGGTGAATGAACTTTTTGATGTGCTACTGGGATTTGGTTTGCTAATATTTTGTTGAAAATTTTTGGAAATGACTGGATTCATAGAAAATATATGAAAAATAAGGGTAAAAGAAAAAGTATGTTCCATTAATTACCTAAAGCTGGTTAGAGAAAATATTATTCATAGTTCATGACTCAGTATATCCTCAAGGTGAAAACATTTAAGTCCCTGCAGCTCTTCCTCATGTTGAGGAGAAAGTTAAGCCCTTGAAATGTGAGTGTAAAATAAAGAGAGGGATAGAGTAACATGAGTTTCTCTAAAAGACAGACCAGATGATTTTAAAAGAGATCACACAATCATAGAAAGATTGCTTGTTATTTACGAAAATTAACTATTGTTCATACTGTTTCTCAGCCAGGGTTGTACTTGAGAAAGCTTTGCTTTCTTTTTCTTCTTTAAGCTCTAACATAGAAGTAGAAATCTCCTCAAGGCGACAGAGATAATTCAATCTATCATCATGGGATTCAAAGTAAAGGCACGACTGCTAGGTTAAAATTCATGGTGGTCTCATGTACAACTACTCTTAGAAATGAGATCATCTATTCAACTAAGAGATCCGGATTTGCATTGATCAACCATTTCTCAGCACTAGCTGTCATCATCGTGATTTTTATTTATTTATTTTGTGATTCTGTTTTAAATGGCTTATCTAATATTGAAGGGGATTTGACTACAGTGTGAAGAAAATTCTAGGAGAACAAAGCACGAGGATATGCCTTGCTGTACCCATTACTGTTATAAATGCAGATTGATCTTTCTGCCTAAGGAGAAAATAATAAGGTTAAAGGAATACCTCCCTAGACTCCAAGTTCTTTCAGAGAATGAAGCATTCACAAGTAACTCAGAAGAAATAATACATGAAGAAATACATGTTGTAAATAATCCTGTTTTCCTGGTTTTGTCTACTCAGCACACTAGAATCGCTTCTCTGAATGTCAAGTATGGTCCAGATATATACACAACAGCAATAAAAGTGATTTTTTTTCAACTTAAAACTTTAGGGAGACAACAAGAAATTAGCTGAAAATACCTGAACTCATAGTCTGAAATAAGATCTATGCAATTACTTACATACACAAAAAATTATAGTACAAAATGCTTTCTGATATTTGTTTCTATTCTCTTCATTAAGAAACTACAAATGGCTCTTAAGTAGTATGGTTGATACCCTGCTTTGTTAGAAAAATTTTGTTTAGTCAAATAGTAGTGATGTGTTTTTGTTGTTGTTTCTATATTTGCATTCCCAGAATTCCTTCTCCTTTTCTGATAATGACTACTAATTCTGATGAGCCA
Source organism: Homo sapiens (assembly GCF_000001405.40). NCBI lineage: Eukaryota > Metazoa > Chordata > Mammalia > Primates > Hominidae > Homo > Homo sapiens. The sequence continues at coordinate 118,186,006 of NC_000003.12, forward strand.
CCTCTCTCTCACTCTTAGACAATGTCATTCAAGTGGGACTAACTTTATCTCCTTGTTTCAAGGTTGCTAAGATAATCTGGACATGAGCTATCAGACCATAGCATCTCCTGGCTACCAGTATCATTCTTGGGCCTTTTATTAGAATCATCAGGAAGGGGGCACTCTCCTTCTTCAAGTTAGCCCGGAGCCTCGGGGAGTCATATTGGATACCAGATGGAGACAGCCTGCTGAGCGAATTTGAGGAGAGAGTGAGGCCTGAAAACACCATTTGGCCAGATGCCTGATGTACTGCTAGATTTTTTTCAGAAGTAAATAAATGTTATTTGTTTTTAATATAAATTAGCAGAGTTGGACTTTTGTAATCTGAATCTGAAAGAGTCACGACTACAACATGGTATGAAGCAGACATAGTTATCTTCATTTAACTGTATTTTTAGTAGTTTAAATAACTCAGTCAGAAGTATGGAACTAGGTATTGGCTTAGGCCAAATTATAACTTTTTTGATATCATAACTGTGATTTTTGTTCTCTTCAGAAACACATATCTGCTAAGCTATGATGAGCTTTTTGATATTTGTGACTGCTATCTACTTCAGCTGATGTATAAGAGAATAATATTTCTATAACATAGCACTTTTGCTATAAATAATTTTGGTACTTTATCTCACCACTTCTGTTCAAAATTAAAGTGGAGGTCCTAGTCAGTAAAATAAGGCAAGAAAACCCGAATACAAGGCATAAAGGAACTCTCTTGCGGCAAGAAGAAACTCTCTTTATTCACAGATGATATAATCATGTATGCAGAAAGCTGTAAGGGAGAAAAAAACTGATGAATAAGTTAGACAAAGTTGCAGAAAACAAAGGTATTTTATAGAATATTTTTTTACAGACTAGTAACACAATTAGAGAATGACATAAATGACAATTTACAATCACATTCAACAGTGCCAAAGTACTTACGGATATTTAGTAAAATATATAAGACTGGTACAATAAAATCTACAAAATATTGCTGAAAGAAATTAAGACCTTCACAAATGGAGACATACACCATGCCTATGGATTAGAAGACTAAATATTATTGAGATGTCAATTCCTTTCAAATTGATGTGTACATTTGTTACAATGTCAATCAAATTCCCAGCAGGCTTTTTCTGTAGAAATCAACAAACTATATCTAAAATGTTTTGGGGAATACAGAGACCTAAAATAGCTGAAATAACTTTAATTTGATAAAAGAGGAAAGAATATAGAGAACTTACACTACCTATTTTCAAGATTTACTGTAAAACCTTAGCAGTTAAAAAATCATGGTACTGGCATAGAAATAGACATGTAAATCAACAGAACAGAGTCTAGACATAAACCAACTCATACACAATCAACTGATTGTTGACAAAGACACCACAGTGAGTCAATGTGTAAAGGATAGTCATTAAAAGAAATGTTACTAAAAGAACCATTTATGTACATGGGAAAAAGTGAATCATGATGTTTACCTTACAGTTTATCCAAAAAGGTAACTTGAAATGGAGCATGGTCCTAAGTATAAAAACTAAATCTCATGCACTTCTGGTTTGGTCCTAAATTCAAAAACTAAAACTCATGCATTTCTGGTTTGTTCATTACACATTGTATCAAAATATAGCTCTGTAACAAATATGTACAATCATTATGTGCAAACTAAAAATGACAAAAAATTTAATTTAAAAACTTTAAAATGAAGAAAAAAATTAAGAATTGGAGACTATTGGCCTGGAGATTTAATTAAAAAACAGAAACATAAAAATGTTAAAACTATAAAACATCAAGAAAAAATTCTTTAAAAACACTCTACAATTTTAGGAGAACAATTCTTAAATGACACAAAAAAAACATAAAAGACAAAAATGATACAAACTGGACTTCACCAAAATTAAAAATATCTTCACTTTGAAAGACATCATTAGGTAAATGAAAAGACAAGCCTCATCCTGAGAGGAAGCATTTTTAGTAATCGTGGCCCCAATATACATTGAAAGACCTTCCTGTATAGTCTTTGAAAGTAGTTCTTTTCACTCTTTCCAACAGAGTAGTCAGGCCTTAATGCCTAAGTTATGGGCTCTCTTTCACTCCTGGTATCCAAAAAGTAGTAAAGTGATATTTTTTTTTAGGGCAAAAAATAAATAAATAAAAGTTGAGAAGTGGTATCTTAAAGGCATACCTTAATCAGTCTTTTCTTACGAAAGTCTGGGTCAGTTGAAGAAAAAACAAAACTTAGCTTGATAGTCTAAAAGCTATACACATGTTTCTGAGGTTTAGGTTCTGGCTTTAACGTAGGTTAGAGGACCTCTAAGTACAAGATTGGCAAAGAAGGGATGGAACCTCCAATGTGTTAACACATATTTTAGTGTCCTACACAAACAATGGTAGAAATCCAGGTAAGCATAATTCCTTCTTCTGAAGAAATAACAGAATGGAGAAAAGAAAATGAAGAGGGCAAGCATGTTCATTAGTTTCCAGGAATAAACAAGAGCAGTTTATGCAGCCACAGAGGCTTGGGAGCCACTTACAACACTAGGCAAGAGAAAATGACCAATATTAAATTTTCACCAACCTTGAAACGTGATTATGCAACCAGGATTTAATGTGATTTAGAAAAATAACTTTGTCTCTTATACTCAAAATGTTAAGGAAAAAATAAAAATCTTGCCATTCTTTAAGAAAATTTTCACAAAGTATTAACTGTCTTCATTTTTAAAAATTACTTTATTGAGATTTAATACAAAAGCTGTACATATTTAATGTATACAACTTGATGAGTTTGGGAATAAGTACAGTTACACATAACTTAATAGTGTTCTAAGAAATGTTCTAAGATATGTTGTAAGAAATGCGTTGTTAGGTGATTTTGTCATTATGTGAACATTGTAGAGTGTACTTATACAAACCTGGATAGTATAGCCTACTACACATGTAGGCTATATGGTATAATATATTACTCCTAGGCTACACATCTGTACAGCATGTTACCATATTGAATACTACTGGCAACTGTAAAACAATGTTAAGTCTTTGCATATCTAATCATAAAAAGGTACTGTAAATAATTATAAAATATTTAAAATGGTACAACTGTTTAGTATACCTACCATGAATGAAGCTTGCAGGACTAGAAGTTTCTCTGAGTCAGTGAATGAAGAGGGAGTAATATGAAGGCCTGGGAGAATAGTGTATACTACTCTACACTTTATAAACACCATACACCCAGAGCTACACTAAATTTATTTTAAAATTTATATCTTCAATAAAAATTAATCTTACCTTACTGTTGCTTTTTTACTTTATACACATTTTAATTTTTTAACTTCTTGACTTTTTTGTAATAGCACATTTTAAAACATCTTTTGTGAATCCGTACAAAAATATTTTTGTTTATATTCTTATTCTATAACAGGTTTTCTATTTGTAAATTTTTAGATTTTTTTTTTTACTCTAAATTTTTTTGTTAAAAACTAAGACGCAAACATATACATTAGCCTAGACCCACATAGGGTCAAGATCATCAAAATGTCACTAGGCTGTAAAGCATTTTTCAGACTTATTATAATCTTATAGGACCACTGTTCCATTGTGGAAGACAGTGTGGCGATTCCTTAAGGATCTAGAACTAGAAGTATCATTTGACCCAGCCATCCCATTACTGGGTATATACCCAAAGGATTATAAATCATGCTGCTATAAAGGCACATGCACACGTATGTTTATTGTGGCACTATTCACAATAGCAAAGACTTGGAACCAACCCAAATGTCCATCAGTGATACACTTGATTAAGAAAATGTGGCACATATACACCATGAATACTATGCAGCCATAAAAAAGGATGAGTTCATGTCCTTTGTAGGGACATGGATGAAGCTGGAAATCATCATTCTCAGCAAACTATCGCAAGAACAAAAAGACCAAACACTGCATGTTCTCACTCATAGGTGGGAACTGAACAATGAGAACACTTGGACAAAGGAAGGGGAACATAACACATGGGGGCCTGTCGTGGGGTTGGGGGAGGGGGGAGGGAAAGCATTAAGAGATATACCTAATGTAAATGATGAGTTAATGGATGCAGCACACCAACATGGCACATGTATACATATGTAACAAACCTGCACGTTGTGCACATGTACCCTAGAACTTAAAGTATTAAAAAAAAAGAAAAATAATTACATAAGTGACATGAAAAACAAACAAGAAACTATGGAGGAGGGGCTTCAAGATGGCTCACTAGGTATATCTGGTACTCACCTCTTCCACAAAAAAAGAACCAAAATAGTGAGTGGATAATCACACTTTTTGCAAATTGTCTAAGACAGTGGTCCCCAACCCTTTTGGCACCTAGGAAATGGTGCTATGGTTTTGCCATGTCCCCACCTAAATCTTCTTGAATTGTAGTTTCCCATAATCCCCATGTGTCATGGGAGGGGCCCAGTGGGAGGTAACTGAATCATGGGGGCGGTTACCCCCATGCTGTTCTTGTGATAGTGAGTGAGTTCTCACAAGATCTGATGGTTTTATAAAGGGCTTTTCCCCCTTTACTCAGCAATTCTCCTTCCTGCCACCTTGTGAAGAAGGTGCCTTTCTTCCTTTTTGCTTTCTGCCATGATTGTAAGTTTCCTGAGCCTTTCAAGCCATGCAGAACTGTGAGTCAATTAAACCTCTTCTCTATGAAAAACAAAACAAAACAAAACAAAAACAAAAAACAAAACAACAACAACAAAAACTAAGACACAAACACATACGTTAGCCTAGACCCACATAGGGTCAAGATCATCAAAATGTCACTAGGCTGTAAAGCGTTTTTCAGGTTTATTATAATCTTATAGGACCACTGTTGTATTTGCCATCTATTGTTGACCAAAAAACCATTACTCAGCTGACTTTATACATGGTGAAACCATCACAATCTATGCCATAAACATATCCATCACCTGCAAAAGTTTCTTCCCACTTTTGCAGAACACAACATACCAAAATCCATGGATTCTCAATTCCCACAGTGGGCCCTGCAGAACCCTCAGATACGAAAAGTCAGCCCTTCGTATCTATTTCTCCGTCCCATGAATAATATTGTATTTTGGATCAGGGATTGGTTGAATTCGTGGATGCAGAACCCATGGATATGGAAGGCAGACTGGATGTACCGTTTTCTTTACCCATACATCAGTTGATGGACACAGGTTGCTTTCATGTCTTGGGAGAGCAGATAACTCCTTAAGCTCCTGTTTTCAATTCCTTTGGATATGTACCCAGACAAGGGATTGTGGGATCATATGGTAATTTTATTTTTAAAAAATTTTTTGAGGAAACTCCATACTGCAACAATTTACATTCCCACCAACAGTGTTCCCTTTGCTCCATATTCTTGCCAACATATACGATCTTTCGTTTTGTTTTGGTTTGGGTTTTGGTTGGTTGTTTTTGATAATAGCCATTCTAACAGGTATCAGGTCATATCTCATGTGGTTTTGATTTTTATTTCCCTGATGTTACTGATGTTGATGGCCTTTTCCTATACCTGTTGGCCAACTGTATTACTTTTTTTGAGAAATGTCTATTAAGTTCTTTTGCCGATTTTTAAATCAGTTTATTTTTTTGCTATTGAGTTGTAGGTGTTCCTTATATTTTGGATAATAACTTTTTTTAATTTTATTATTATTATACTTTAAGTTTTAGGGTACACGCGCTCAACGTGCAGGTTTGTTACATATGCACACATGTGCCATGTTGGTGTGCTGCACCCATCAACCCGTCATTTAGCATTAGGTATATCTCCCAATGCTATCCCTCCCCCACCCCCTACCCCACAACAGTACCCAGTGTGCAATGTTCCCCTTCCTGTGTCCATGTGTTCTCATTGTTCAATTCCCACCTGTGAGTGAGAACATGCTGTGTTTTGTTTTTTATCCTTGCGATAGTTTGCTGAGAATGATTGTTTCCAGCTTCATCCATGTCCCTACAAATGACATGAACTCATCATTTTTTATGGCTGCATAGTATTCCATGGTGTATATGTGCCACATTTTCTTAATCCAGTCTATCATTGTTGGATAATAACTCTTTATCAAATATATGGTTTGTAAATATTTTCTTCCATTCCATAGGTTGCCTTTTCATTTTGTTGATTGTTTTCTTCACCACGAGGAAGCTTTATGGTTTGATGCAATCACAGTTTTCTGTTTTTGTTTTGTTGCCTGTGTTTTTGGTGTCATGTACAAGAAGTCATTGCCAAGCCCAGTGTCAAGAAGCTTCTATCCTCTTTTTTCTACTAGAAGTTGTATGGTTTCAGGTCTTATGTTTAAGTCCCTATTCCACTTTGAGTTGATTTTTGTGTCTGGTATAATGGCCTAATTTTATTCTTCTGCATACGGATACCCAATTTTCCCAGCACCATTTATTGAAGAGGCTTTCCTTCCCCATTGTGTATTCATGGCACTCTTGTCAAACATTAGTTGAATTTTTGTGCATGACTTCATTTCTCACACTTTATCCTGTTCCACTGGTCGATATGTCTGTTTCTATAACAGCACTACACTGTTTTGATTACTGTAGCTTTGTACTGAGTTATAAGATCAGGAAGGGTGATGTCTCCGGCTTTGTTTTTTCTCAAAATTGCTTTGCTGATTCATGGTCTTTGTGGTTTCACATGAATTTTAAGATTTTATTCTATTGCTGTGAAAGTTGCCATTGGGATTTTGATAGCGATTACATTGAACCTGTAAATTGCTTTGGGAATTATGGATATTTTAACAGTATTAATTCTTCCAATCCATGAACATAGAATGTGTTTCCATTTATTTGTGTCTACTTTAATTTCTTTTATAAATGTTTTATAAATTTTAGTATATAGGTCTTTCACCTCTTTATTTAAATCAATTCCTATTTTATTAACTTTGATGCTATTTTAAATAGCATTGTTTTTGTATTTTCCTTTTCAGATTGCTTATTGTTAGTATATAGAAACATAACTGAGTTACTTTGATCTTGAGTCCTACAACTTTACTAAATTCTAACAAGTTTTTTGTGGGGAATCTTTAGGATTTTCTATATATAATATCATGTAATCTGAAAATAGAGAATATTTTTCTTCCTTCTGTCTAATTTGGTTGCCTTTTATTTCTTTTTCTTGCCTAATTGCTCTATGGCTTTTAGTATTATGACAAATAGAAGTGGTGAGAGTCAGTATTTTTGCCTTGCACCAGATCTTATAAGAAAAAGTTTTAAGTTTCTCACCTTTGAGTGTGATGTTAGGTGTGGGCTTTTCATTTACAGCCATTATGGTATTCAATTAAATTTTTCTATACCTAATTTATTGAGGTTGTTTCATCATATAAGAATGTTGAATTTTGTCAGATTGTTTTTTCTGCATCTCTACATGATCATAGAAATTTTATTCTTTATTCATTTAATGTTGTGTGTCATATTTACTAATTTGCATATGATGAACCATCCTTGCATCCCAGGGATAACTTCCATTTGGTCATGACATATGATCTTTTAAATATGCTATTATATTTGGTTTGCTAACATTTTGCTGTGTAGTTTTGCATCAATTTTCATCAGCGATATTGGCCCCTAGTTTTCTTTCCTTGTGATATCCTTGTCTGATGTTGTTATGGTAATGTTGACCTCATGAATTTAGATGGGTTTCCTCTTCTGTTTTTTGGAAGAGTTTAAGATGGATCGATATTAAATGTTTTTGAAATGTTTGGCAGAATTTAAATGTAAAGTCATCTGAACCTAGTCTTTTCTTTATTGGGAGGTTTGTGGTTATGTACTCAATCTCCTCTCTTTTATTTATTTATTTTTTATTTTACTTTAAGTTCTAGGGTACATGTGCAGAACGTGCAGGTTTGTTACATATGTATACATGTGCCATGTTGGTGTGATGCACCTGTTAACTCGTCATTTACATTAGGTATATCTCCTAATCTCCTCTCTTTTAATTGGTCTGTTCAGCTCTGCATTACTTCTTGATTTAGTCTTGCTAGGTTGTATGTTTCTAGGAATTTATCTATTTCTTCAAGGTTGTTCACTTTGTTGGTGTGTAATTATTCCTAACAGTCCCTCATAATCTTTTTTATTTGTCATTGGTCATAATGACTCTCATTCCATTTCTGATTCTATTTGAGTCTACACTCTTTTACTTAGTCTAGCTAAGGATTTTGTCAATTTTGTTTATCTTTTCAAGAAACGGACTCTTAGTTTTATGCATGTTTTTCTATTGTCATTCTTACTTTCATTTTATTTCTGCTCTAATTTTTGTTATTTCTTATCTTCTTATAACTTTGGATTTTGTATGCTCTACATTTTCTAGTTTTTTTTTTGAGCTACAATATTAGGTTGTTTATTTGAGATCTTTCTTCTTTCATGGAGGCACTTGTCAGTTTAAAATTCCTCTTAGTATGGTTTTTGAAGTTTTGGCATGGTGGGTCTTATTTTTATTTGTCTCAGGACATATTCAATTTTCCTTTTGATTTCTTCTATGGTTCAATTGTTGTTCAAGGGTGTTTTATAATTTCCAAGTATTTGCGAATTTTTTCACTTTATTTTTGTTATTCATTTTCAGTTTAATTTTAATGTGGTCAGAAAAGAGACTTGAAATTACTCAAACTTTCCTAAGCATATTAAAACTTGCTTTGTAACCCACGTGTAATCCATCTTGGAGTGTTACATGTGCACTTCAGAAGAATGTGTATTTTGCTTCCATTGGGTGGAATGTTCTGTATATGGTGTCTGTTAGGTTCATTTAATCTAAAGTGTTGTAACATCTTGCTGTTTTCTTGTTGATTTTCTGTCTGGATCTGTACATTATTATAGGTAAAGTATTAAAGTTTCCTATTATCTTATAGATAAATTTTTATCCCATTAGATATGTCAATATTTACATATTTACATCCTCTGATGTTGGCAACACACACGTGTGTGTGTGTGTATATATATATACACACACATACATACGCACATATATATGCACACACATAAATAATTCACATATCTTCCCGTTGAATTTATTATTTTATTATTATGTAATGATCCTTTGTGTCTCTTATGAACAGTTTTCTTATAATTCTACTTTTCTGACATGACTATAGCTAGCCTTATCTGCTTAGGTTTTCATTTGCATAAAATATGTCTGCATTCCCTCACTTTCAGCCAATGTGTATTTTTTTTTGAGATATAGTCTTGCTCTGTCACCAGGCTGGAGTGCAGTGGCGCCATCTCAGCTCACTGCAACCTGCACCTCCAGGGTTCAAGGGATTCTCCTGCCTCAGCCTCCTGAGTAGCTGGGACTACAGGTGCGTGCCACCATGCCCAGTTAATTTTTGTATTTTTAGCAGAGATGGGTTTCACCATGTTGGCAAGGATGGTCTCCATCTCTTGACTTTGTGATCTGCCCACCTCAGCCTCTCAAAGTGCTGAAATTACAGGTGTGAGCTACCACGCCTTGCCAAGATGTGTATCTTTAAATCTAAGTGTGTCTCCTATAGATAGCATAGAGTTGGATTTTATCATTTTCTAAATTTAGCCACTCTATTATTTTTATTGGTGAGATTAATAAGTTTACAGTTAAAGTAATAATTCATACTATTGTCATTTAGTTGTTTTCTGTCTTGTAGTTCTTTTGTTCCCCTCTTGTCATTTTATGTGATATAATCACTTTTTGTAGTGACATACTTTCTTTTCTTTTGTGTCTGTGTCTGCTATATGTTTTCTCATTGTAGTTACCATGAAACTTACATAAAATTTTAATATTTATAACAGTTTATTTTAAGCTGATAGCAGCAACTTAGAGCATACACACAAACTACACTCTTAGTCCTCCACACACACTTTATGTTATTGATGGATTTACTTCTTTTTATATTGTGTATCCGTTAACACATTTTTATAGCTATTTTAATACCTCTTTTAATTTTATGGTATAATTAAAAGGGATTTCTGGACCACCATTATAGTAATAATTACATTATAACATTATTCAATATATAGAACTCTATATGTTTACTTTTATCAGTGACATTTATACTCTCATATGTTTTCATGTTGCTGGCTTTTTTTTTTTTTGGTCATGTCTTTTAACTTGAAAAACTTCCTTTATCACTTTTTCAAAGGCAAGAATAGTTGTAATGAACTTCCTCCATTTTTGTTTGTTTGGAAAAGTCTTTACCTCTCCTTTTTTAAAGGACAGTTTTTGCCAGGTATACTATTTTTGATTGAAAGATTTTCTTTTTTTTCCTTTTATAGCACTTTGAATATATCATTCTACTTTTTTCTGGCCTGGCAGGTTTCTGCTACAAAATCTGCTGATAATCTCATTAGGTTTCCCCTGTATGTGACAAGTTGCTATTTGCTTGCTGCTTCCAAAATTCTCTCTTCATCTTTGACTTTTGACAATTTTATATGTCTCAATGTAGATCTCTTCACATTTAATCTACTTTGAATCCTTCGGATTCCATAAATATTTATGTCTATTCCTCTCCCAAGTTTTGAAAAAAATTCAGCTATTATTCCTTTAAATACATTTTTTGCTTGTTTTTTCTCCTTGTTGGAATTTCATAATCGTATATTGGTTCACACGATGATGTCCCATAAGTCCCATAGGCTTTATTCACTCTTTACTATTCTTTTATTGTCATTGTTTTTCTGCCCAGATAATTTCAAGTGGCCTATATTTGGGTTTACTGATGATTTTGTTCAACTGATTCTGCTGTTGAAGCTATTAAATTTTTCAGTTCAGTCATTATGTTCTTCAGATCTAAATATTTTATGGTTGCTGTCTCTTTGTTGAACTTCTACTTTTGTTCATGTATTATTTTCCTGATATATTGCAATTGTCTGTCTGCATTTTCTTGCATCTCATCGAGCTTCTTTAAAGGGACTATTTTGAAGTTTTTTTCTTTTCTGTCAGGAAGTTTATAGGACCTATTTCTTTAGGGTTGATTACTGGAGCTTTATTTTCTTTAACTTTGGTGGCATCATGATTCCCTGATTATTCATGATCTGGTGTCTCCACATTAGAGGGGAGATGTGGGTAATGTGAAGCTGTTCTTCTTACTCTTTTCAACATATCTTGTCTTTCTTTCTGTGCTCTAATAGAGCACTGTGACCTCTTATTGTGTTCCAAAGCTTTCTTGGAGGTATTTTCATCCTTACATGGTCATTAATTTGTATTTTGTGGAGGCATGGGGGCTGGAAATTCTTACTTTGACATCTTGCTGATGTTACTCCTGTAATCATTTTAAAATTCAATCTGAACATTACCTTTTTGTATAAAAACATCCCAATAACTTTAAGAAAATTACAAAAGTCCATAGTTTTGTTACAGTAGGCAGCCATGAACAAGGAGGACAGGCCCTCCAACCCCACCACCAGGAATGTCAAGCAACCATCAGGTGATGGTCAGGCTGTCATTAAACTGTCTCTCTAAAATAATCATTGGCCACAGTCAGTACCAGGGAAAGGCAGCCTTCCAATAGATAGAAAAACACCTGAAACATGATCAGCAGCTTCCTGATAAGATCTCAGGAGTTGGGCAAGTTGGCTCAAGCATGTGCACTAAGAGGCTAGCTAAATGGTGGACTTTAACTGGTATATGCCCTTCTAGAAACATTCTAGAAGAGAAGAATGTGGCAAGGGAGCATGTGTACAACTCCATAAACACACTGTGCATGTGCCCCCTCCTAAGTGCTGGCAGGCCACCACACATGCAGAAAGCCCACCTCAAGGGAAGAACTGGGGGGAAAAGAAATGCAAGATCCCAGAGGCATGTCAACACATAAAACCCGAAGTCAAAAGTCAAATCACACACTTGTCCTCAAGTTGCATGCTTGGTGCTCTTCCAAGTGTACTTTACTTTTCTTCATTCCTGTCCTAAAACGTTTTAATAAACTTTCCCTTCTGCTCTAAAACTTGCCTTGGTCTCTCACTTTGTCTTCTGCCCCTCAGTTGAATTCTTTCTTCTAAGGAGGCAACAATTGAGCTTATAGCAGATGTGTACAGATTTGCCACCCCTAACAGTTTGACCAAAACACCTTATATGATCTGGCACTTATTTATTTCACTATGCTTATTCATAATCTTCTTTCACTTGATTTCAGTCGTTTAAAACATAGCAACTTTTTAAAATTTATTTATATAAGTCATATTTTATTCTACCTTAAGGAGATCTTACATTCTGTTGCTTCCTCTGGAGAGTTTCCTACTTCCCCCATCTTTATCAACTTAACTTCAAGTTATCCTTCAGTCCTCAGCTTATAGTCATTTCTTTAAAGAATCCCAAGGTATGGCATATTATACATTCTCAACAAATATTAGTAAATCAATGAATAAATAGATAAATACAATTTTCCTCCAAATTTTCTAGTTTTGATCAATTACTTCTGATATTTACTCTCAATGTACTTTATATTTTTTATAATTATTACCACAATAATTACTCAGTTGTGAAATGAGCTGTTTAATGTATACATGTCTTGCTTTATTACGAGCTCTATGAATGTAGGGGCCATGTTGGTGTTATTCATGATATTATTCCCAGTTTGAGTAAATATTTGTCCAGTGAAATATATCAACCATAGAATGGAGATAAAGCTTTCATAATAAAAGTTCTAACATGACACATAGCCACAATTTGACAAATATGGAAAAACTCCGACTATCCAGAGATTTTCTAAAAGTGTAAGAAATTTTACCAATAGCAGAACACTAATACATTTTTAATGTAATTTTTTTTTTTTTTTTTGAGACAGAGTCTTGCTCTGTCACCCAGGCTGGAGTGCGATGGCGCGATCTTGGCTCACTGCAACCTCTGCCTCCCAGATTCAAGTGATTCTACTGCCTCATCCTCCCAAGTAGCTGGGACTACAGGTATGTGCCACCACGCCCAGCTAGTTTTTTATATTATTAGTAGAGATGGGGTTTCACTGTATTAGCCAGGGTGGTCTTGATCTCCTGACCTCATGATCTGCCCGCCTCAACCTCCCAAAGTGCTGGGAATACAGGCGTGAGCCACCGCGCCTGGCCAATGTAATTTTTAAGATAATTTGTCATCTCAAAATCTAGTATATGGTAGTAATAATAATGGTTAGTGAACCTAATTATGTCTTATTTAAACATTGAAATCTGGTTGGTGAAGTAGAAGCTGTATGAATCATAGATGAGAATGGGCATGTCAGGACTTAATCTTTTTTCTGCTCTAACGTGTTGAACATCTTTCATGTAATAGGATGTGTTAATTGAGGATTTTTCCTTTTGACTGAAGCCTCATTAGTGAGAATAATAGATGACAACATAGGTGCTAGACATATTTACAGGACTTGGTACAGTAGCAAAATTGGTTTTCTGGCCTTACCCCTTAACCTCCAGCCTGTATGAAAAAAAAAAAAAAAAAGCCAAAGACTTTTGGGAGAAAAGTTTTGAAGTTTGTGTGTTTGTTAAAAAGAGTTGTGATTCTGTGCATTTTTTCTCTCAAGCCAAATGAGGAAATCTTAGAAACAATATAAAGTGAGTGTGTTGGCCTGAAGCAAGACCTGACATTTGACCCCCTTGGTGGAAACCTATTACGCAAAAGAAACCTGTAGACTTGCTTTATATGAAATCAAAATAAATAAGAAAAATATTCACAGAAATCATCAACCTATCTGCCCAGGAGTTTAATGGTAAGGTGCAATAAGTTGATGTTCTTGCCTGGGATGGCAAAATATGGCTGGCTGGACCTAAGGAAGAAAAGTGGAGAAAAAGGGCCACAATCAGAACAACTAGCACTTAGACAATTGAGTGGAGCAAAGCATTTTCATTTATGCCTCTGACAACGGCCATGTTGCAACCATCTTGTAAACTTCCTCCCAACCTCCACAACAAGAAGATATAGCCTACTATGACAATACAGCCTGAAGAGAAGAGTCTGGCCCCACTGATTCCCCCAAACTGAAGCCAAATGGAAGTAAAAAATGATATATTTATGTGATATCAAATATTGTCTGGGAAGAGTAATGAACTCGTAAAAGCACTCCAAGAGAGAAGCAGCATTTGGGCATTTGCACTAGAGAGGGAATCAATAGCAGATCTTAATAGCACCAGTCAAGTAAGACCCTTTCTTTCCTCCCTCCTTCTGCCACTACCCTGGAGTAAAAGTAGCTTAATAAGTAGTAGGAGTTTCGAAAGAAATATATGAGAAAAGACCACAGATATCTTCTGTCAAGGCTTCTGAGTCTATATGAAACTTAAAATGAGGAGAAGCTTTGAATTAAGAGAATGAAGTTTTGTATTAGAATGACTAATCCCTTTATAACATGAAAATTTTCTTTTTAACTGATAAAAGTGACTGAGAAAACTATGAGATTTTTTCACTATGTCATAGACAAGTCTGGAATACAGTTCTAACTGGGCTTGACTGAAGTAATTCTCTGATAACACTCTACGCAATATGGCCAGTTAAATAAACAAATTACATGATTCTGAGGGAATTTTCTTCATTGTGATGCTACATTCTTCAAGCTAGAAAGCAGACATGCAAAATAGGCACTGCCAATCTCAGATGCTGTGTGTGTGTGTGTGTGTGTGTGTGTGTGCGTGTGCACGTGCGTGCGTGTAATTGAAAACTAATAGTGGAAAGACAGGGTTCTGAGAAGAATCCATTTGGGTAAAGGGGGCACGAGAGACAACGTTCAGAGGCAACAGTGGCTAAATTCACAGAAGAAAGGCCCAATTCTCAGTATCAGGTGTATAAGCTCAGTCAGTGTGTGTGCTGAACAGGGCTGGTATTAATTTTTTCCCCATTAGAAGAGCACAAGACAATTATTTATGTCTACCTCGCCTCTAAACATAATGATCTTATTCTAGAGAGACTGTAAACTATCTAATATCCTTTAACAAATTTTCTGCTTATATTAAAAAGAGCTGGTTTCCATGGCTTTTCACTAAGAATTCTGATAAACACAGAGGGAAATGCAGGGATTATTCAAATGTCTGTCCTATATTTTGCAAAGAAAATATTGTGTGTATCATATATGTATAGTCATAGGGCCAGAGACTTTAAAAGGGAAAATGATTCAAGAGAATCTGATGGACCCCTGAAACCAATTTAGTAATTATAATACAAATTGAAAGGAAACAATGATGTCAGTACCAGAAGAGATGTATGTAAACTTGATCACTATGAGAAATCAAATTGATTAGGAGAACATAGCTTTTCCTTCAAACACAGAAATGCTAGATAAGGAAAAAGACAAATAAAAATATTCCTGAGAGGGAAGGAGGAGGAAAGAAGGTAGGGTTGGGGAGGGGATAAGGGAGAAAGAAAGAAACCCAAGAGGCAGAGAAAAAAAAAAAGAGAACTCAAAGCCAAAGTAAGGAATACAAGCAACCCATGGTAGTAGCAGAAACAGATTTTTGTCTGTCAGGTTTTATTTTTTTAATGCTGCCAGAAGCTGAGTGTAGTAGAACTGGACATAACAGTAATATCTCAGACAGTTTCCATAGTGTTTGGCAGAAGACACAAGACTCTTGGATCAGAAACTCCTGGGTGAGAGACATGGCATAGCAAGTAGCATGATAGTAATGTTTGCATTGATTCTCCTTGCCTCCCAAGTACCATGTGTATAATATGGAGGTACATTCCAGTGGATCTTGTGCACACAGTGAATTAGAATCACAGCAATTTCCTGTGTTTCCTGAACACAGGAAACCTCCAATTTAATAAGGGGCTGCTAGCATACTTGCCCAGGCTTTGCCCTGATGGTGGGTATTCTCTTTATTATCCATCCAGGAAACAATCTGTCCTTTTCCTAGGCAAAAGATACTATTCTATTATTCATGCCTGTTTGTTATTAAACACAAACACACATGCACATAAGAAGGTAGTTTGTAACAATGCTAGCAATGTTTCTTTTCAGAAAACATGTAGAAGCACAATATGAAGAATTTTCTCCCAATCATATCAGAAGTCACAAAGGACTGGATACATCTCACTTGAGTCATTTTGCCTTGGCAATCTCTCTCACTATGAGGTCAGTGCCAATACAAAAAAATTGGCAGCTATAAAAACTCTGCCTACTGGTCCAGAAATGCAGGATAGAACAGATTTGTCTAATCTGTGTTGTGGATGATAAAGGAGGTACCTATGGGAAGCTGAAATTTTAATTAGATTAGACATAGCTAAAGAGAGAATTAGGGAATCAGAAGATATAATCTAGGAGAAAGTAGCAAAGAAGATTTAATAATGAAAAGTGCAGCAGGAAAGTCAGGATAAAATATAAAAACGTAATATAAATCTAAAGGAGAAAAACTAGAGCCAATGGAAAATAGGCAATATGTAAAGAGGAAATAACAGAAATTTTCCTATAAAGACAGGTATCTTCCCATTAAAAAACAAAAACTAAATCTTTAGCTTGATAATTTTATAATGAAACTGTGGAATATGAAAGATAAAGAGAAAATCTTGAAGAATGTGAGATAATATAGTAATCTCTAGAATCCTCTAGAATTTAGAGATTACTATTTAAAAGCTTCAAATTGCTGGGATAAAAAAACCTATTCACCTAGACATCTATATCCATCCAAACTAAAAAAGAAAAATTAAAACAAAGAATAAGAGTGTTACCTACTCATAAACTATCACTGAGAGGTTTACTTTAGCAAGAGAAGAATTGAAATCTGAATAAAGAGTGGAACATGAAAAGCAATGGTAAACAAACAACTCAATAAATTAGCTTGGTAAACCTGTTGACTATAAAAACAAAACATGCTGGGCATGGTGGCTCATGCCTCTTATCCCAGCACTTTGGGAGCCTGAGGCAGGTGGATCACCTGAGGTCAGGAGTTTGAGACCAGCAGGGCCAACATGGTGAAACCCTGTCTCTACTAAAAATATAAAAAATTAGCTGGACATGGTGGCAGATACCTGTAATCTCAGCTGCTTGGAAGGCTGAGACAGGAGAATTGCTTGAACCTGGGGGTGGAGGTTGTAGTGAGCCAAGATCGTGCCACTGCACTCCAGCCTGGGCAACAGAGCAAGACTCTGTCTCAAAAAACAAAAACGAAAACAAAAAAACCCTAATTTTTTGGTTTTCATGACAATATTGAACTAAATTGCTCAACAAAAACATGGATGACATAGCAGAGCTTGGAGTTTACAGTTAAAATATTTGAAGTTCCTTTACTTGGTAGGATGGAGGATAGAAATATTGATAATTTATTATTCTTGTATGTAAGTTCCAAACAGTAGTTGGTTTGTTTATATCCTGCAGTAACTACAGCACCTAAAATGATTTCTGCCATGTATTTTGTTTGTTTTGTTTAGTAATGACTGTAGCTTCATACGTTTTTGTTCTGTTTTTCCCTTTTTTGTGGATAAACTTTTAAATTTATACTAGTTTTAGGTTTGCAGGACTATTACAAAGATATTACAAACAGTTTCTATATATCCCACACTCAGTTCCTCTATTATTAACATCTTACCTTAACGTAATATATTTGTTACACATAATGCGTAAATATGGATACATCATTATTTTGTAAAGCCCATACTTTACTTCAATTTCCTCGGTTTTCTTCTATTCTTTTTTTTTTTCTCTTCCAGTATCCCACTTAGGTTACCACATGAAATTTAGTTTTCAACTTTTCTTAGGTTCCTCTTGGCTGTGACAATTTTGCACAATTTTCTTGTTTCTAATAATCTTTTTAAAACTTCTGTTTTGAAAAGAAATGGTCAGGTAGTTTTTGTAGAACATCTTTAAATTAGAATTTGCCTCATGTCTTCCTCCTGATTAGGCTAGAGTGATATATTTGGTTGAGAAAGACCACAGAAGAAAAATGCCATTCTTATCACATCATATCAAGAGTATAATGATATAGGACTTGTTGTTACTAACCTTGATCACCAGGTAGTGTTTGTCAATTTTTTTCCCTGTAAAGCTGTTTTCTCCCTTTTCATGCTGTATTCTTTTTTAAGTAAAGTTGTTATGCCCAGTTCACATTTTAGAAGTGGGGTTGTTTATAACCTCAGTTTTATAAAAGATATAACTCCTCATTTTAAAAAAATTTAATACAGAAGAATATAAAGAGGAAAGTAACAGTAACAGTTATAAATGCAATGAGTATTTTGGAAAATATCATTTTATAAATTTCTATATTCGTACACAAATATATATACACAGATATGCTCACATGGCACATTCAAACATATAGTTTTACATGTAAGGAACCATGCTACAATAACTGTATTTCACATTTTTATATGCCCTTTTCGAATGCAGATTTCCTTCTTTCCTTCCTTTTTTCCTTTTTTACTTTTTTTTTCCTTCCCTCTCTCCCACCCTCCCACCCTCCCTCCTTTCCTCCCTCTCTCCCTCCCTATTTTTGGCTTACTTTCATGCAACCTTCTTTCCTAGTACAACCTCTCTTCCAGCCTCAAAGCCAATATTTGCAAGCTGTCATGCATCCTTTTATAGCTACTCTATACTTATGCATTAAGATACAATTATATATGTCATTTTTTAAAAAAGGAGGGATTATATTATGTACTTCTCTATGTCTAGCTTAGAGAGGCAGTAGAGTTTAATTGTTAAGAAAATAAACTCAGTTGGGCGCGGCGGCTCAAGCCTGTAATCCCAGCACTTTGGGAGGCCGAGGCGGGCGGATCACGAGGTCAGGAGATCGAGACCATCCTGGCTAACACGGTGAAACCCCGTCGCTACTAAAAATACAAATTAACCGGTGGGGTGGCGGGCACCTGTAGTCCCAGCTATTCGGGAGGCTGAAGCAGGAGAACGGCGTGAACTAGGGAGGCGGAGCTTGCAGTGAGCTGAGATCGCGCCACTGCACTCCAGCCTGGGCGACAGAGCGAGACACCGAAATATAAAATCTGAGACCAAAGACTATCCAAATCCACACATTAATTACCTACCTGAGTGACCTTGGGCTAAATTCTCTGTGCCTTAGTTTTGTCATCTTTAAGAAAAGGATAATAGAAATTTTTACTTAACAAGGAGATTGAGGGACTAAACGACTTAATAGACATATACGTAAAGTGTAAAAGGATTGAACAAATGCTAGCTCTTACTGTTTTATTAAGATGATAACATTTTTTAACCAACAATAGCCTATAAAAATCTCTCAGTCCCTTAATTCAACTACTATAGCTGCAACTGCCTAAAATTCTATGTTGGAAAGAAAAACCTCATTTTATTCAGTTGTTTCTCTACTGATGAGCATTTGCCTTCTTTGTCATTACAACGTGCTTCAATGAACATCTTCATTAATGCAATCCTTTGAACTTAGTCTTTTATTTGTAAAAAAACAGGTTTACAAGAGAAATACTACTGATTCAAAGGGTATATCTATATATATACATTCATTCTTAAATTTTGGTAGCATTCTAAAGTTGTAATAATATCTTAGCAATAAGGTATGAGAATACACATTTCTACATTTCGCTGTGACTAATAATTTATATTACTTTTTTATTCTTTGTATTTAAGGAGTATAAAGTGATATCTCAATATAACTTTTATCTTAATTACCTTCCTGTTATAGTGACTGACTCTTGATGTATGTTTGTGGCCACTGGAATTTTATCTTTTGGGATTTTCTTGTTTATAGCCTTTGCCCATTTATTCATTAAGATGCTACTCATTTCTAAGAGTTCTTTGTATATTGTACTCTGTCAGATAGATGACAATTTTTTTCATAATTTCTTTTATTTATTAATTTATTTAGAGTAATTTTATTATATAATTTAAAAATACCTTATTATGATTTTTTCATTTTAAAGTTTCCGAGTTTTCTATTTTGTATTGCCTCTTTATCCATGAATTACTTCAGAATACATTTCTTAATTTCACAGTATTTAAGTTTTTGCAAACTTTTCATTGTTCCATAGTGTTTACATTTTTAAATGGCAGTCTTAATCTTCTGCATTTATTTTAAAACTAGTAAATCAGGGGTTCTCAAACTTTGGTGTACATTAAAATGCCATAGAATATTTTCTAAAGTACCAATTGCTGGACCTGACCTCTCAAATTTCTGTTTCAGTCACTGTGCTGGGCAGACTATTGAGATTTTTAACTAGTTCTTAAGTGATGTTGACCCTACTGGTATAGGGACAAGACTTTGAAACCACTTTCAAAACATAGTTTGAAAAATACTGATTAAAAAATAAAATAAAATGAACTTTTAGTAAAGGTTCAGACATAGTTATGCCATACTTCTTCCAGGTTTATATATTTAAAAATGACAGATCAATATCTTCTGACTCCCAGGAAGGTAATGACTCAACCATATGACACCATTTCCTTTGCTTCACTATAAGAATGACCCTTCCAGCAGTTAAATCTGTCCAAAAGTAGAAAGAGCTATGAGTTCCATGTTCATACAGAGATTAGAGAACCAATTTTAATAGATAATTGAGGGTAATTTATGCACTGGACTGGTGGCTAACCTGAAGTACATTTCTGAGATTTGGGGCCTTAACAATCTAAGAATGCAAAGGAGATTAAGAACCAGTGGAGATAGTTCCTAAAAAAGAATTAGATTACCATTGGGCTTTGAGTCCAGAAGGAAGGATTAATTAAGAATACTGGCTTTGGAGTTGCTAGAGTTGAAAAAGTGTTAATAATAAGTTGATCAAATCAAGAATAGTTTCTAAATCAAGGAAGAAGGCTGGAGGTTAAAATGACATTTAAGGTTTTTAAATGCAATAATTCAATTAGCAAGTACAAAACCAAAAATACGGCTAGTAAAAAGACACAATGACCTGCAAAGCTAGCATAATGTACACTTCTGTGCTGCTGATTACATTATAACTCCATAAGTTAAGATGTTTGATTAGTATAATAATTAAAGACTGCAAAACTGGAATTAATTGCACTTAGATACCTTGCCTAATGCCAATATATCCAGTAAGCTTTTTAACTATGTTGAGATTTATGAGACCAAAACTACTTTATTCACTATGCCATACTGCCTTAATGAATAGTGTTGTCTACGTCTCAAGTGATATAAATGTTGTACAAAGCAGGTCCTGTTGTTTGTTAGTTAAATAAAGTACTTCTTAATTATAATGCTGGGGAAACAATGAGTGGCTTTTAGCCTAAGACTGTGTTTCCCATGTTCTGGTAAACAATCCAGGTGATGATTTGATGATTCGGTTGTTGACAGAGGCAAAGCCACATCTGTCTTATCACTATTTTGAGACCCATTCTCCAAGCTACTAAAATGTACCTGACTTCAACGCAATCTGACTTTTATTTTTAACTTTCACATATATTTGTTATTTTGCATTCTAAAAACTGTAACATCCTTTTTCTATCTTCATCTGCCTGAAACTTACCCATTTTCTCCCCATTCTTTTCATGTCATTTGCCACAGCTGATTTGAAAGCATTCTCCTTCATTGCCTGCCAGCTGGAACTGTCCTTCAATGTCTAACCCTTCAGATCCCTTCTTCTTTATAAAACACATTGCAGAGTATAATTAAAGTGGGTGCTGTTCTGCTGTATGTTGTCTAACATTTTACTTTGTGCCTGAGAGAGCTATTTATTTTAGCGGGTACAGAATCCTTGGGAATTGGTAGCTCCCAACGAGGGTCAGTAGGCAGCATGAAGAACAGATGACAGCCTGCAATACCTCCTTCGCATTTCTGTAAAGAGATTTGACATTTACAAAGTACTGCATGTTGCCTTTCCCCGCAAATCTCTGAAGACTTCATGAAAATAAAAGGCTTAATGATTTAAATGATTTTAAAAGCATTTGATATGCTTTTAAAAGTGAAAGATAAGCATTCTTGATTAAACTGAAGGATTGTAGAAATGGTGGAAACATGTATAAGAATATCCAAATGCAGGAATAATGCATATCAGAGAATCCTTGCTTAGAAATTGCAATTCCAATGAAGGACCTGAGAATTCTGTTCAGGGCAGGTCTCTGTGTCCTGAAGAATCAATATACCTCTCTCTACAGTACTCTTAAATCAGGTAGCACTGAAAGTATCTGAGAGTTCGTTGTTCTTCCATTTCTCAAATTTGAAAGCAAACTGAAATCCACCCTTACATGAGAGAAATAAACTTCCTTTAATGATAGAGAACACTTTAAACTAAAGATTCAAATGCATCCCAAAGTTAATCGACCCTTGGGTCTTTTAAATTGCATATAAAAATCTGTCTGCATTAATAAAAAATGACTTGACTTTATTAATAATGCTTATTTTTAACTTTCTCTTCTAAGCACACATCACCAAAAATGAAATTTTTCTGTAATATTTTCTTCATGCAGTATTTAGGAAAGTGCTCAGGTAAACTAATCTCTTTTATAGTAAATAATTTAAGTTGGGAAAAAGTTAATAAATAAAAAGTAAAATTAGCTTTCGTGACATTTTAAAGTAAAACCCAAGGACAATTGTGATATAAATTAAGTCCCATTTATCCTTCAAGGTAATATAGAGAGCATGGAAAAGCGTCTAAAATAAGGTAGTGCTGAATTTGGTAGGACAAGGGGGAAATGACCATAAGTTCATGAGTGGGAGAAATAGCCATTTCGAAGGCATATTTATTCAGGGAGACTATTGCCAAAAAGACTTTAAGAGAAGGAATGGTGGTTCCTTGACTCTGCTTCCATTCTCTTACTCCCTGCCCTAGCTAGTCTCCATCTAAAAAACTCACTACAATTAGGGGCCAGGAAAAATTTTAAAATGTGGGCAATCTTTTAAAACTGGCTCTTGATAATAAAACCTCATAAGTCACATTTTCTATTTAAATTGTTACATTCTTTAGAATGTCATGCAATTTCTGAATTGTAATAGAATATTGCGAAATATATCCTACGAAAAAGAAACTATATAAACTAGACAAATAAATTAGAATAAAATAGAATGAACACTGCTCAATTAAGAAACAGACTGCTGCTATACCTTAGGTGCTTTCTGTATATCCCTGTATGATTGTATCATACTCCCTCCCCTCAACATTGACCTGCTTTTCATTTTTAGTTTTATTGTGTAAAAAATATATTACGTAGCTTGTTTCTGAATTTTATGCTAGTAGACTCATGCCGTATATATTTTGTGACTTTTTTCGTGTTTTTATATTCATTCATGTTGATGCTTGTATTTGTAATTTATTTTTACTACTGTGTATCATTGAATGACATACCACAATTTTTATACATTGTATCATTAACACATATTTGGGATGTTTCCAGTTTCTAAAATCCATTTTTTCCAATCAAATTTTGTTTTGTAAGATATGTGAGCCTCTCAAAAAGCTGAATAAATAATACAATATACCCTTCACCTAAAATAACTATGTATTTAACATTTTTATATATTTGCATATACTTACTCTCTCTTTCACCATTTAAAAGTTGTGGGATACCGAAAAACAAATGTGCTTGAAAATAAATTTGTAACTCACAGATTACCCCAAGAACTGCAATAAACCACTGTATATCTCTAGTCTCCTTTAATCTAGAAAAGTTTCTCAATCTTTTGGAACTGTCTCACAATTCTGATTTGGCTGATGGCTTCCTCATGATTACACTGTTACAAAACTTTGTTAAGAAATACTACGCAGGTGATGCTGTGTCTCATCAAGTGTATCACATAAATAGGCACATGGTATCAGTTTATCCCCACTACTAGGGATGTTAAATATGATTATTTGATTAAAGTGGTGCCCACAAGATTTCTCTACTATAGAATTACCTGCCCATTTCAAAACCAGTAACTAATATGAGGGCTAATAGTTGGAAACTGTATAAATATCTGGTTTCCTAATAATATCTAACCCAGTGGTTTTGGTATCCCTTGATGACTCCTGCTTTTTAAAATATTATCGTGTGTTTGTAAAATGGTAATTTTTAAATTCCTATAATTACTTTTGCATTTAGTAGTTGGCATTCTTCTGTTAAAAAAAGAGGGAATTTCTCCTTTCACCCCACCATTTTTAAATTTAATCGTATAATATACATATTACTCAAGATGAAGTTGTCACAACAATAAAATTTTTCTACTTAGTAGGGCAGAAGATGATCATAGAAGAAAGCCATATTTCTTAAAGGAAATGTTTAATGATTATACATGTGTATGCACCTAATAGTATACACTCAACATATACAATCCAAAATTCACAGAACTGAAAAAGGAAATACACAAATTCACAATGACTGTGAATAACTGACACAAGCACACACAATGTAAGTAGAGATAAAGAAAGTCTGATAATACATAACAAATTTCATTTACATCACTAAATCTCATTTGACCTAATACACTAATCATTATAGAAAGTGTTATTTTGAAGTAAGCATGAGGCATTTACCAAAATTGGGCCATACACTTGCCCATAACTGAACAATCTCAAAAAAACCTCAAAAAGTGTTAAAAGACTAAAGTCATACAACTTATGTTATCTGATCACACTGGAATTAACCCAGATAAAAATAAGATAATTAAGAAATTCACTTTTAAATAACCCATTACTCTAATAAAATTATATGTTACAAAAAAAGAATGCTGAAAATCAGTGAGCTAAATATCCATCTCAAGCGGTTAAAAAGAGAATAGCAAAGAAGTTAAAATTATAAAAAGAAAAAAATAAAGACAAAAACTAAAATGCATGAAATAGAAATCAAAGAGAAAAGCAAAAAAGCCCAGTGTTAATTCTTTAAGTTACAATTTATATACCCCTAGCAGCACAAAAAATGCACAAAGGCTCATGCTAGAAATTAAAATGTGATACCATACCATAAATACATGCTTTAGACATTATAAAATAATAGGAAATTATAATAATTATAAATAGGTGAAAATTTACATGAAATGGAAAAAATTACTAAAAATAAAAGTATCAAGCTTATATATAATAAAATTATAAAATATAAAAATAAGTATAAAATTATATATGTGTAGATATGTAACTATATAATAGATATAATTACATACATATTTACATATATAGTTATATACATATATATAAACTACATATATATACACACACACACACACACACACACACTAAATTGTATCCACAATTATAAACTAAACTCATGGCCTAGATGGTTTGAATTCTTGCATATATTCCATATATTTAAAAAGAAACAATAGACACAACTTTTTTAGAAAATGGAAAAAGAGGACAAAATTCTCAACTCAATTTTTGAGGCCAACATTATCTTAATGTCTTCTTTACGTCAGATTTCCTAGGAATAAAGCCTGAAATGAGCATTCTTGTTCAATAGATTTTTTGGAGAGTTCTCTCAAGAAAAAGAAGTGAAAAAATTAAGGCAGGGTAGGAGAAAATGCTATGCAACACAGTGATCTGAGTTAAAACTTGCTTATATTTGATCCCACAGAGAAATTCTAGCACAGAAATAACACCATACAGTTAGTCTGACCTTGAGGAAAGAAGAGGTGGCCTCTGGACTTGTGTTCCTCAGTTGGTCAACGTTTGCCCAAAAGGAGGTGGGAAGGAAGTATTCTCTACCAGGCCAGTTGGCTTATTTTAGTTAAGAGCAAATATCTGGCAGCTCTTAATTGTTATCAGTCAACCACAGCAGGTGATGGATGGGTACCGACCTGTAAAGGGGACCTGAGGTTGGGGGTGCTACACCAACATATCCACTGTGGTGCACCCCTTGCACTGTTCAGATTCACTTGTTTTTCACATTAGATTCACTCCATACACTCAGAGCTTTTTTATTATTATTATACTTTAAGTTTTAGGGTACATGTGCACAACGTGCAGGTTTGTTACATATGTATACATGTGCCATGTTGGTGTGCTGCACCCATTAACTCGTCATTTAACATTAGGTATATCTCCTAATGCTATCCCTCCCCCACCCCCCACCCCACAACAGGCCCCAGTGTGTGATGTTCCCCTTCCTGTGTCCAAGTGTTCTCATTGTTCAATTCCCACCTATGAGTGAGAACATGTGGTGTTTGGTTTTTGTCCTTGTGATAGTTTGCTGAGAATGATGGTTTCCAGCTTCATCCATGTCCCTACAAAGGACATGAACTCATCATTTTTTATGGCTGCATAGTATTCCATGGTGTATATGTGCCACATTTTCTTAATCCAGTCTATCATTGTTGGACATTTGGGTTGGTTCCAAGTCTTTGTTATTGTGAATAGTGCCGCAATAAACATACGTGTGCATGTGCCTTTATAGCAGCATGTTTTGTAGTCCTTTGGGTATATACCCAGTAATGGGATGGCTGGGTCAAATGGTATTTCCAGTTCTAGATCCCTGAGGAATCGCCACACTGACTTCCACAATGGTTGAACTAGTTTACAGTCCCACCAACAGTGTAAAAGTGTTCCTATTTCTCCACATCCTCTCTAGCACCTGTTGTTTCCTGACTTTTTAATAATCGTCATTCTAACTGGTGTGAGATGGTATCTCATTGTGGTTTTGATTTGCATTTCTCTGATGGCCAGTGATGATGAGCATTTTTTCATGTGTCTTTTGGCTGCATAAATGTCTTCTTTTGAGAAGTGTCTGTTCATATCCTTTGCCCACTTGTTGATGGGGTTGTTTGTTTGTTTCTTGTAAATTTGTTTGAGTTCATTGTAGATTCTGGATATTAGCCCTTTGTCAGATGAGTAGATTGCAAAAATTTTCTCCCATTCTGTAGGTTGCCTGTTCACTCTGATGGTAGTTTCTTTTGCTGTGCAGGAGCTCTTTAGTTTAATTAGATCCCATTTGTCAATTTTGGTTTTTGTTGCCATTGCTTTTGGTGTTTTAGTCATGAAGCCCTTGCCCATGCCTGTGTCCTGAATGGTATTGCCTAGGTTTTCTTCTAGGGTTTTTATGCTTTCAGGTCTAACATTTAAGTCTTTAATCCATCTTGAATTAATTTTTGTATAAGGTCTAAGGAAGGGATCCAGTTTCAGCTTTCTACATATGGCTAGCCAGTTTTCCCAGCACCATTTATTAAATAGGGAATCCTTTCCTCATTTCTTGTTTTTGTCAGGTTTGTCAAAGATCAGATGGTTGTATATATGTGGCATTATTTCTGAGGGCTCTGTTCTGTTCCATTGGTCTTACACTCAGAGCTTCTTCAGGATTCTGGTTGGTGATAATTTCTGGATAGCTCACAAGAGAAAAGTTAGCAGGAAAAATTATAGCTCCACTGCCATATTTGGTCCTGGGGCCGTAAATGGTCATCATCTTTTTCTGCCACACATTTTAGATTTCCTTGCACGTTGGCCCCCAGCTCTGCTTACCTGGGTAGTTTGACTAGTGGATTCACCTAGACCAATAAGTTTGCAGAGGACATTTGGCAATATTTGGTTATCAAAACTGGTGAAAGTACTCTTGCCATCTAGTAGGTCAAAGCCAGGGATGCTGCTAAACATCCCACAGTTCACAAGGCAGCTTCCCTCCACAAAGGATTATCCAGATCAAAATGTCAGTACTGCCAAGGTTGAGAAACCCTGTGTAAGAAGATTTACTGAAAATTCATATGGGTTTATAGAGTCATAACGTCTGCCTTCTGTGTGCTATGCCAGTGTCTTGGCTTTTGGGAGACAGTCAACTTTGGAAGTATTTACTCCAGACCATGCTCCCCAAATTTACTTCATTTTACTTGAAGTAAAATCTCACTGGAGAGTGAATTAGCAGAATGACTCCAAAAAATGGCTTTCTTACTAACTCGTTTTGTGACCTGAGGCAAGTTCCTTGAACTCTGGGCTTAGTTTTCCTTCTTTATAGGAAGAGGGAAATTATTTGATCTTCTATAGTCCTCTCAGTTCTGACCTTCGAAGTTCTTTGTCAGGGACAAAGAACCTGAAGGAGGGAGATTAACACTAAAAATTGGAATCAGTTATTTGCATCTTCGCCTGAATTTGTTCATCAGCTCCATTTATAAAAGACAGCTGCACAGGAGAGCAAGTAATAATGGGAGTATGGTGAGAGGAAAGAGCATAACTGTGATAAGCTGGAAGTCAGCAGGACAGGAAAATTATGGAGGAAGGAGAAAACAATGAACTTGAAGACAAGAAGGTCTGGAAGTCAAACCACAGTTTATCTAGGGCTTCATCTAGTAACCACTACAACCACAACAGCAAACATTTGCACAGGGCTTTATAAACACTAGAAACTTTAACCCTTACAGCAGCCCCATAAGGTAGGAAGGGTTGTCTTAATTATCCCCACATTATGAATGAGTATCTTGGAAGCTAAAGAAAGATGGATGCATAATATCCTGTGTTGAATAAGAGGTGGAAGCTTTAACCCACATCTTCTGATACTAAATCCTACATATTTTCAGAATAAAATTAGACTGAGATCTGGTGACCTTAGTCTGAGTACAGCTCTGGAGTTTCCAACTATGTGAGAGCCTGTTTCTTCATATCAACATTACTTGATTCCAATTCTGGAGAAGGATTTTTCATCTTCTCTGTACTAATTAATTATATTCCTCTAAGCTTGAAAGGGGTGATTCACTTTTAGCATTTCTGAAAAATAAATAAATTCTTGCCAAAACACAAACATTAGTTCTGCCACATTATTCTTCAGGTCCATAGGCCATGACTTAAAACCTAAGGGAATAATGCTTATAAATTAATTCTGGCTGTGAAAGGTTCTGAAAGAATTATGTTCTCATAGAAGCCTTAGAAAACATGAGTTCCATCTCAGTATATTTGTATGACCCTTACTGTGTGCTAATTCTTAGTTATTTTTAAACTTGTTTTATACTGAGTTTCACCACACAGCAGCTTAAAGAAAGATCCTTGGAAAATATTCTGGATTTCTGTCTGCAAAGCCTTGTTAAACTCTATCACATACCTGTTGATGTTATAAATATTATGATTTTAAATTCACCCAAACTAATGAAGATATTTGGGGACAAAGTATTTCTGAGGGTCAAATTTTTGTTGGATTCAGTGGAGATATTATATATAATCTCATATCTGGACTGTAGAGTCAAATAAGTCTATGTTTGAATCCTGTATCAGATACTTCCTGTGTCCCACCTCGTATTGCTAGGGCCTCACCAATGATTCCAGCCACAACTGCAACGAACTTTTCCAGATGGGCTTTGGCTCACTTTCCACTTACGGCATTTCCACCAAGACATGACACACATCTTTGCTTGCTTTCCCGTGACTTCTCCAATGCCAAATCATGGAGCTCCATGGGAGCTGTTACAGGATGACCCATATACAGTTACATAATATGGGGGACCTACCTCTGGGGTAATGTTCAACCAATCTGAGATGGAAGTCAGTGTATGAATACTCTTCCCTGTCCATTCTTAGATTCACAATTCTGAGAAGCATTTCATATATCTTCAGAAGATCCCAGCAGGACTGACCTCCAGTTTTTCACAATGGTGATTAACTCCACAACGTTCCTATATTGACTTTTTGTCCTTGCCTATTAAACTCTGCCTAGTTTCTTACATCTATTCCCTGTGATTGCCTTCCAAGTTAAACTACCTGCTCATACTTATAAGCTTTTGTTTCAGTCTCTGCTTTTATTTCTTTTGGGGGTGAGGGGAGTGAATTGGCTGGTAGAACCCATATTAAGAAAACGGATACCAGAAGTATCCTTAGAAATTAAAATTCTATGGTGAAATTCTGGACCTGAGTCACTCACCAATTGCTGGTGACAAGTGGGATGGTGATAATACAATTCATACTGTTACCTGTGGCAGGATGGAATGATACACAGGTGAAAAGTAAACTTGGGGTAATGTGAGCTATTGAACAGAATAGGTCGTTGTGTTAATCATAAAGCAGGCTGTTAGCAGCACTAGAAACATTGAAACAAGAAAAAAGTATATCAACTCAGAGTTAGCTGTGAAAGCCATAAAGGCCTCCATTGAACGGTGCCAAGAAACCTCTTCTGCAGCCACAGGGCAACCTGTTTTTAAGATGAAATCCAGGATTTACTTTTTGTCACTTTGAAGTGATGGAACCTTCAAGGGGACTAACGTAACATGACTCCTATGCTAAAGGAGTCTTGATAGAGGAGAAATATAAACCTGGTAACTGGCATAGGAATATTTGGGTAGACAAATCTAAGAAGGTTGAACTCTAAAATTTTATTAAATCCTTTGGTCAGGAGAAGCAAAACCATTTTTTTTTTTTTAAGGAGGACAGCAGCCTTCCCTTGCCTGAAGCCCAAAGAACTCACCTGAGGCAAATACCTTGCAAGTTCATGTTTCTTTTTTCAGACATTCAGCACACCTCTCCTTATTCTCATAAAGCAATAACTAGAACCAGATCTCTCCAAAGCCCAAGAAAGGAAGCACAGTTCCTACTCTGAAAAGGAATAACATATCCTCCAAAAGAATTACAAGTTTGGGCTAATATATACAATGAATCACTGTATTCATTGAGTATTGGATTGAGGGGCAGAATATAAGGGTGGCTAAGAAGAAGTAATTTGCTTAGAAGGATTCTCCGATGACACAGGATTTAGTTTCCTATCCTAGATACTTAGAGCCAATTCGAATATACTACCAGGAAGGTCCATAAATCTTCAACATTCTGATAGTCTACAGCATTTGATGGGTTGCTTTAGAAATTTTAATCAACTTTATTGAGGTAAAACTTACATACAACAAAACATACACATTTTAAGTGTATAGTTCCATGAGTTTTGATAAATGCAGACACATATGTCCACCCTAATAGGATCCCAAAATATTTCCATTATGAACAACTATATGCCAACAAATTAGAAATTCCAATTAAAAAATGGGCAAAAGATCTGAATAGATATTTCTCAAAAGAAAGCCAACAAATGGACAGCAAGTATATTATAAAATGCTCAATATCACTAATCATCAGGGAAATGCAAACTAAAACCACAATGAGATATCATTTCACCTCAGTTACAGTGCCTATCATCAAAAAGACAAAAAAAATAACAAATGCTAGTGAGAATGCAGAGGAAGGGGAACGCTAACACACTGTTGGTTGAAATGTAAATTCGTACATTACGTTACAAAAAGCATTATGGAAATTCATCAAATAATTAAAATAGAACTCCCATATTATCCATAGATTCCATTACTGAGTATGTATCCAAAGAAAATGAAATCTATATGCCAAAGAGATATTTGTATCCCCATGTTTATTGTGGCACTATTCACAGTAGCCAAGAGATGGAATCAATCTAAGTGTCCATTAATGGATGGATAAAGAGAATGTGGTATATACACAAAATGGTGAAATAAGTAAAAATTTAAAAAAATAGTGAATTAAGTCAAGGACACAAAGACAAATCCTACAATATCTCACTCCTGTGTGAAATCTAAAACGTTGATCTCATACAAGTAGAGAGTAGAATTGTGGTTACCAGAGGCTGGGGCGATGAGAAGGGAGAGAGGATAGGGAGAGGCTGGTCAACAGGTACAAAGTTAGAGAGAAGGAGGAGATTTTGGTGTTTTAGTCCATAGTAGGCTGATTATAGCTAATAACAATGTATTGTATATATCAACATATTTAGAAAAGAGGATTTTGAAAGTTATCACCACAAAAAATCATAAAGGTTTGAGGTGATAGATATGCTAACTATCCTGATTTGATCATTATACATGATATATGTACTGAAACATCATACTGTACCCCATAAACATGTACAATTATGTTTCAATTATAACCAAAATATTAAAAAGTGAAAGCAAAAAAGAAACATTTTTATCACCATAAAATGTCTCCTGTGCCCTTTGCAGTAAATTATCCCCACTCTCCACCTCAGGCAACTGCTAATGTAATATCTATAGATCAGTTTTTCCTGTTCTAGAATTATCATATAAATGAAAACAGACAGTATGTACTCTCATGTGTTGGGTTTTCTCTTCTTTTCCTCAGCATAATATTTTTGAGTTTTATACATGTTATCATATATAGCAGTATTTTATGCATTTTTATTGCTGAATTATCTCATTGTTTACATATGCCACAATTTGTTTATACATTCATCTGCTGATGCACATTTCAGTTGTTTCCAGTTCTGAGCTAATATCAACAAGCTTCTAAGAACACTGCTAACAATCCTTTATGTGGATATATAATTTCACTTCTCTCTGGTAAAACACTTAAAAGTAGAATTGCTGGGATATATAGGAATGGGTGTTTAATTATCTTTTCAGAACTCATTTTCCAGCAACAATATAGGGGAGTTCCAGTTGTTTCACATCCTCAGCAACCCTTGGTATGGTTAGTCTTTTTAAATTTAAACCATTCTAATGAATCTGAAGTAGTATCTTAGTGTAGTGTTGTTTTAACTTGTGTTTTTCTAATAACACTCTGGAAATTTGTGTTTTTCATTAACACTCTGGAGAGTTGAGAGCCTTTCATCTGATTACCGGCCATTTGCGTATCTTAACTTGTGAATTCCTGAAACATTTTACCCATTTTTAAGTTGTGTTGTTCATCTTATTATTATTAAGTTATAAAAGTCTTACCCACATACCACATCACCTAGAAGTAGAATAATTAATCGAATCATGAAGTGGCCTATTAGAGGCCCAGCTATGGAATTCTCCAATTCAACCTCATGCAGGTTTGGAGAACTGTGTCCTATAGCAGTCAGTATATAAACTAAACCAATAGCCATTATACAGCCACTTATCCTCCACTATCTAAAATACTTGCTTCTGAAAACCAAAGGGTAAAAGATTGGTATTTTTCATCATCATTTCTAATGATCTCCATGAGGAATTTACATTCTCATCCCTGATACACTAGGGTTTGATGAATTAAAGGCCTTCATTTCTAGAGTAGAGAAACAAACCCACTAGAGGTGGATTCAGTAAGGGTTCCACCAAACTAATATTTTAAGTACCAGCTAGCATCAGTGACCAGATACCAACAAAATAGTTCCTATTGTTATAGGAAATTTACCCTTATTATAGGTAAAAAGAATTGTGCTTCCTTAATAGCAGCATGTAGGACTGTATGTGTTACTGAAGAAATTCACTCAGACGCATCTTGGTGCTTTGGGGTCTGGTGATAATGGTGAATGTGCAATTGCAGGAAACTTAGCCCAACAAGTCTCAGATAACTTTAGGAGGAAGATCTGGGCTACCCTTTCAGGCAAGCAGCCTAGACTAGCTGAAGTTTTGGCTGAGGGTAAAATAATCTAGAAAGAGTGGTGGAAAGAGAAAAGATGAATTTTAACTACGGAACAGTTGCAAAACACTTGTTCCATTAACCACTGAATATTAAGTCTTTTGTAAACTGCAGTTACTCTCTACCTTGAAGACATGATGATTTAGGTCTTGAAGTAAGGAACAAACAGTTTTTAGCAATAAAAGATATGAACTATATTAAATTTTCCTTAAGTCTTGCCTCACATCCTCTCAACCTCATATTTGATTCCAAGTCTAGCTTGATTAAAAGAAAGAAAGCTATGTGGGTTTTAACTTACTCCTCCACAGTTTTCTCTCTGACCTGAGGCTTCTTCAATGCTAAAGCATGGGGATCCAGTTGGAACTCACTAGCAGGAAGGATGTACAGTCCAGGAAGAAAGAGTGTGTGTTGGGGGAGGGGGCAGGGACAGGACTAAAGCTCCCTGGGTAATACCCAATGAAGAAAGATTGGAACCAGGAAGAAAATGATTGCATCTGTCAATCCTTTGGTGGGAAATTTTGAGAATTGTTTGGTTGTCTCTCTTCTTGTAGAATATTCTGATGGGATCGAGCTCTATTATGGCAGTGACCATCTGGAAAATAAGCTCTTAAAGTGACTATTTATTTTTCCCAGTTTTATTTTCCCTAGTTCCTCATTCTTGATCCCTGTAATCATCACCTTGAAACCTGCTTTACCTGGAGGACGAAAGTAGACTAGGATAAATCCCACCACTGCAACTTTCTCACTTTTGATGATGAAAAAGTTATGTAACTTCTCCTTATCTCACTTGTCTTCCCTATACAATGGTAATATTAATGGCATATGGTAATTATGAGGATTAAGTGACAAAATATTGGCATAGAATACAAAATAAATTATAGCCATTTTTTACTTCTATTGTTACTATTATTAATGTTATGCCTTCCTTGGAACACAAAATCAGGGTCTTATAGCTCATTTAGGGAAAATACTGTAGTACTGAAATAAGAATAGTCTGATTTAAAGATAGGATCAGGACATACCCACTGTTTGTTTTTTCTTTAATATATAAGGCCTCAAGAAATTCTAAGATCATTAATGGAGTCCCACTGTCTACATACACTTTAATTTAAGAGATCTACATGAAGTTGATATTTCCAACAGCTTTAACTCTTAAAAGCACATATAATGAGTATGATAAACCTTACACTCTATTCTCTACGCAGTTTGTTCAAAATGAAAATCTCAGTACAGGTTTAGCTTTCAGAAAATGTGAACTCATTATACTTATAAATATGCACGTAAGTGATATATGTGCATGTGTATGATATGTATGAATATATGTGTGCACCTTCTACTTCTAGCTGCAATTTGAAAAACTTAAGTAAAATTATAATATTAAAAACGTTTGATTTTACTTCGAAGTGCAAAAGTTATAAGAAATTCCAAATCTGAATCTCCTGTTTTCCACTCTCTATAAAATCTTACACAGTCTATTTAACCTCTCTGAATGGCATATTAATTCATTTTTTTAAAAAAATGGGTATAGTAATAACACTACCTTCATAGAACTATTGTTAGGATCAAAAATATATGTAAAAGTATTTTTCCAATGAAATTATTTTACAAATAAAAACATTAAAATAATAATTTTACTTACACATATCTTAAAATGTCTCATATGTCTGGATTTATACACAAATAAACTACATTTATAAATGGAAGAAGAGCCTCCTTTGTGTTGCTCTCTCAAATCCTCTGATGATTTTGAGCTCATATCTGATGGTAACACAGAATGGAAAGTGCAGCAATCTCAACTATGTGCAAGGGCCAGTCTTCCATTCAGCCAGAAGTGTGAAAATCAGACAGGAAATTGAGAGCTAGCTCCTTTTCCGTATTTAATGTAGACTAATTGTCCTGAATCTTTTTATCTTCCTGCACAGTGTGAAAGAACTATGGTTCCTAGAGGACATTACAAAGTGCTCTTCTCCACCACCTTGATACTTCTGTGGACTTGGAGGCTTGCCAAACTCAAGTTATTTTGATCACTAGGCAGTCATACATCAACAATATTGTAAAAAGTGAGAGATTCTTTTAAACAGGAAAGATGATCAGAGGCAGCTTTAAGTAAACTTCAGCATCGCAGCTAGGCTGTATAGACTTTCAGAAAATAAGAATGAGAGGAGGGTATTCCAGACAATAAGGATGAGTAGACACAGATGCAGGAAGTAATGCTCAAAGAGTATGAATTAAGAATGGGCACATAAGAATTTGAGGCCAAGAGAGAAGGACAAACAGCCAAAGTAAGTTGAGAAGACAGAAAAAGCAATCCTAAAATTCATATGGAATCTCAGAGGACCACGATAGTCAAAATAATTCTGAGCAAAAAGAACAAAACTAGAGAACTCACACTTCCTGATTTGAAAACATATTACAAAGCTACAGTAATCAAAACAGCGTAGTACTGGCATAAAGACAGACATATAAACCAATGGAAGAGAACAGAGAGCCAAGAAGTACACCCTCACATATAGTAAATGTTTGAGCAGCGTTTCAAGACTATGCAATGGGAAAAGGGGAATCTTTTCAACTATTAGGGTTAAGAAATTGGATTTCCACATGCAAAAGAAAGAAGTTAAACCTTTATCTTAGCCCATATACAAAAATCAACTCAAAATGGATGAATTGAAGACCTAAATCTAATACCTGAAACTATTAAAATCTTAGAAGAAAACATAAATGAAAGCATTATGATATTGGTCTTCACAATGAATTCACGGGTATCATACCAAGGACAATAGCAAAAATAGCCACATGGGACTACATCAAAGATAAGAACTTCTGAATGACAAAGGAAATACTCAACAGAGTGAAAAGGCAACTTACCACATGGGACAAAATATTTGCAAATCATATATCTGATAAGGGGTTAATGGCCAGTCTAGATAAAGAACTCCCACAACTCAACAACAAAAAACAAGCAACTCAATTAAAAAATGGACAAAGGATTTCAATAGACATATATCCAAAGAACTTGCACAAGTGACCAAAAAAAATATAAGATACTCAACATAACTAATCCTTAGGGAAATGCAAATCAAAGGCACAATGAGATATTGTCTCCTACATGTTAGGATGGCCACTATAAAAAACACATAGAAAATAATAATTGTTGGTGAGAATGTGAAGAAATTGGAATCCTGTGCACTGTTGGTGGGAATTTAAAATGGTATGGCTGCTATTAAAAATTAAAACTAACTCCTGATTCATTAATCAAATTGGGCATATATCCAAAATAATTCAAAGTAGGGCCTTGAAGAGATATTTATATACCATGTTCATAGCAGCACTATTCACAGTAGCTAAGAAGTGAAAGTAACCCAAATGTCCATCTACAGATGAATGAATAAATAACATGTGTTACATACCTACAATGGAATAGTATTTAGTCCTTAAAAAGTAGGAAATCTGTCACATGCTGCAACATAGATAAACCTCGAGGATATTATGCTAAGTCAAATAAGCCAGTCACAGGAAGAAAAATACTGCATAATTCTGCTTACATGAAGTATATAAAACTGTCAAATTCATAACAACAGAAAGCAGAATAGTGGTTGCCAGGGGCTGGAAGAAGGGGAGCTAAGGAGTTGCTGTTCAGGGGGTATAGAGTTTCAGTCATGCAGGATATGAGCTGTTCTGGGGATCTGTTACACAACAATGTGCATGTGGTTGACAACATTGTACTGTACAACTGGAAATTGTTAAAAGAATAAATTTTATGTTATGGTTGTTTTTGTAGCATCAGGTAATAAAGGTCAAATATAAGGAGAATTTGTATGCAATACAGAGCCAATTGGGGTTTAAACTGGGTTAAGATGGCATAATTATAATTGAATTCTAGGTAATAAAGGTCTGAATAAAGCAGTGTCATTGAAATGGAAAAGGAGGGAAAACTTACTTTTTGTGAGGATGAGAAAGATAATTTGTAATGGCTAAGGAATTAAGCCTTGGTAGCTAGAGAGGTGGATCATATAACACATATATAGTTAAGTGTATGAAATGCATTAATCTTAAGTGAATTTTCACTTTCATATACATATGTGAAGCCATAATCCAGACCAATAGAGAATATTCCCAGCACACCATAAAGTTTCTTCATGCCTGTCTCCACTTAACAATTATCCCAATGGGTGAATTTTGATTTAGTTTCATTTTATAGCTTTCTTTTATTAAACAAATATTTACTGAGTAAATAGTAGGAAAACACGGGATTAGACACAGAGAGAATAGATACAGTTGCTTTCTTGTCCCCAAGAATTTTTAAAATTCATGCTGTATTATAATGGCTCTTCCTTTATTACATGTAAAGGTAACCTGGGAGTATTGTTTAAAATGCAGATTTGGTGGATCTTTCCCCAAAATCCCAATTCAGCACTTTGAGGTGGGGCCCTGGAATATTCATTTTTTTAAAATTTGTATAAATGTAAGGGGTACAAGAGCAATTTTGTTACATGGACATATTGCATAGTGATGAAGTCTTGGCTTTTAGGGTATCCATTACCCACATTGTACCCACTAAGTAATTTCTCATTAACCACACCCTCCTGTCCTCTCCAACCTTCTGAGTTTTCAGTGTCTATCATTCCATACTCTATGTCCATGTGTACACATTATTTAGCTCCCATTCATAAATGAGAACATGCAATATTTAACTTTCTGTTTCTGAGTTGTTTCACTTAAGATAATGGCCTCCATTTCCATTCATGTTGCTGTAAAAGATATGATTTCATTCTTTTTAGTGACTGAATAGTATTTGATTGTGTATATTCATATTTTCTTTAATCATCCATTGATGGACACTTAGGTTGATTCCATATCTTTGCCGTTGTGAATA
This sequence comes from Homo sapiens, assembly GCF_000001405.40. Classification (NCBI taxonomy): domain Eukaryota; kingdom Metazoa; phylum Chordata; class Mammalia; order Primates; family Hominidae; genus Homo; species Homo sapiens. The sequence goes on from NC_000003.12 coordinate 118,224,003, forward strand.
GTGCTGCAGTAAACATGGGAGTATGGGTATCTTTTTGATATAATTATCTTCCTTTGGGATATGTAGTAGTGGGATTGCTGGATTGAATGGTAGTTCTATTTTTAGTTATATGATCAATCTCCATACTAGTTTTCCTGGAGGTTGTATTAATTTAAGTTTCTGCCAACAGTGTATAAGCATTCCCTTTTCTCCATATCCTCACTAATGTCTGCTATTTTTTACCCTTTAATAGTAGCCATTATGACTGGTGTAAGATAATCTCATCATGGTTTTAATTTGCATTTGTCTGATGGTTGGCGATACAGAATTAAGGACAAAACCATATGTTCATTTCAATAGATGCAGAAAAAACATTTGATAAATACAGCACCCCTTCAAGATAACAACCCAAACAACCTAGGCATAGAAGGAAGATACCTCAAAATTATGAAAGCCATATGTGACAAATTCCACAGTCAACATCATACTCAGTTGGGAAAAGTTGAAAGTATTCCCCCTTAAAAACTGGAAAGAGACAAAGATGCCAACTTTCACCACTCTTATTCAATATAATACTGGAAGTTCTAGCAAGAGCAATCAGGCAAGAGAAAGAAATAAAAAGCATCCAAATTGGGAAATAAGAAATTATCTCTGCTCACTGATGATATGATTTTACATCTATAAAGCCCTGAAGACCCACCAAAAATCCTAAACAAATCAAACAAAGTTGTAGGCATCCCATTCCTGACCTCAAATTATACTATAAGGCTATAGTAACCAAAATATTGTGGTACTAGTATAAAAGTAGATCAATAGAAAAAATAGAAAACCCAGAAATAAAGTCACATATCTACAACCAACTGATCTTTGACAAAATCAGCAAAAACATACACTGGCAAAAGTACATCTTTTTCAGTAAATTGTGCTGGAAAAATTAGATTGCTCTATTGAGAAGAATGAAGCTGAACCTTTATTTTTCACCATTAAAATAATCAACTCAAAATGGATTAAATGCTTCAATTTAAGACCTGAAACTATAAAAATATTAGAAGAAAACCTAAGGGAAACTATTCTGGACATTGGTCTAAGCAAATAATTCATGACTAAGACCTCAAAAGCATGCGCAACAAAAATAAAAATAGACAAATGGGACTTAGTCTTCTGTACAGCAAAAGAAATAATCGACAAAGTAAACAGACAACCTGAAAAATGAGAGAAAATAATTACAAACTATGCATCCAACAGGGGAATAATATTCAGAATTTAAAAAGAACTCAAACAAGACAAGACAAAACAAAACCCAGAAATAACCACAATAAAAAGTGTGCAAATGACATGATTGATTACTTTTCAAAAGAAGACATGCAAATGGCTGACCAAGCATATAAAAAATTCTCAACATCACAAATATTCATTTTTAAGAAATGTTCTGGTTTGCTTGGAGGCTGATGGTCTCAGAACCATACTTGAGAATCATAGTCCCATTGAGTGCAACAATAAGGCCTTGTAGTCCATGGTAGGAATTCTGGACATAATCCTGTGGGTTTGCGGAATCACCAGAGAATTAGCAAAGGAATGACAAAGTCAGATTCTGGTAGCAGAATGGGAAAAGGATGTATTGGCAGGAGGAAAATTGGCTGCAAAGAGGTAAATTGCTTGATAGCTATTGTAATGGTTCATGTGAGGCAAGAAAAAAATCCGTAGAGAATACAGATTCAAAAGGCATTCAGATGGTACATTCAAAAGGCCTTGTAATGATTTAGATGTGCATATGGGTGTGGGAGAGGGAATGAATAGGTAAGATAGGAAAGGTAACTAGTTATCTTTAATAATATCAAGATTCACCCAGATCTTGAAACTATCCTGACCTCATGACTACTACCCATGTTTAAGTGCTGAACAGATAATACCTGCCTATTTGTCCTGTGTCACAGAAGGTATATTTTCAGTGCCAAAAGTTGACTGATGTTTATTGTAATACATAGAGCATTATCCAAAAAATAGACTCTTGAGCCTCTATTTAAGGGCACTGTGTCAGACTTTCAAAAATTTGGCTTTGGTGGCTTTGAGAAATTCAATTCCAAGAATTTCTCAATGAGAAACATCTTATGAGAAACGTCTTAGTAATACGTAATGAGCTACAGTATTGACACCAAACCCCCATTTGGCATCTTCACAATAGGTCTGAAAAAAGAGGACTTGGGATTGCAGAGACATGGAATTCCTACCTAGATGTTGATTCTTACTCTCAATAGCTGTCCTAAGAAGTTAATGGGTTGAACATCAAGGTCTGAGACAACAGCCTCTGCTGCTGGGGAATTAATTGGTGTTTTCTCAACCACGTGCAAGATACTTCATATTGGAAGGAAACAAAACACAACAAAACACCCCTTGTATTTGAGATTGGGCAGCAAGGCTAGGAGGGGAGTGGAATAAAGACTGATTGTTGCCAAATATTCTTTCCAGCTTGTTTTGTCACGAAGTTTTTGTGCTAGCAGCTGAGAAGTGACACAGATTGGATGTGACAGGCAGAGGCTGTGTCTCAGCCCTTGATGTTTAACCCATCAACTTTTTAGGACAGCTACGGAGAGTAAGCATGAACCTCTCAGTAGGAATTCCACCTCTCTTCAATCCCAAGTCCTCTTTTTTAGACTTACTGTGAAGATGCCAAATGGGGGTTTGGTGGCAATACTATAGCTCAATAAAGATTACTAAGATGTTTTTCATAAGCCACCTAATTTGAGTATCACAACAATCCTAGAAATAGGAAAGTGCAAATATTTATCTTCCTTTGGCAGATGAAGACCCTGGGACTTAGGAAGCTAAAGTGTCCGGCCCAAGGTCATGAATATATACCATGCTGGGACTGGGACCAAAGCACTGAAAATCAGAACACGTGAGTTATTTCTGCAAAACTGACCAGCCTACCAAGGACCAACAGAAATCTGCTAGCCTATATTCACTTCACTTTTCATTCCTCCTGATATAGCAGCATCTTTCCACCGTGGAGGTGCAATACCACAGTTTTTGGCCTGAGGGTATCTCAGAGTGAGAACACAATGGAGCAGAGGGATGTTCAGCCAAATCCTCTTTTTCACCTCGTGTACAAGGAATATGCATCTCCAAGGTGCAAGGAACAGAACATGGAAGCTGAACAGTGGAAACCACTTTTTTCTTTGTACCCATATTGGCAGTGGGGTCTAACAACCATAACAACAAAAATAACAGGGGAATCTAGGTGAGTACACGTATTTTTTTTCTTTAGAAATTTTTTGCATCTGATTCCTAGTTGCTCTTAGTACTCAAAGTGAATTGGATAGCAGAGATGACTATATCAATTCTTAAAAAATGTTTCCTGTTTCAGATATATAGCTGCCATAGCTGTCAGCATTTGGCCTTCCCATCTGTCGCTTGTCACAGAAACTCAACACTCTTCCATGTAAACCTTGCTTAACTGAAATTCACTTAAAACAATTCCAAATATAAAGAATTATTTAGTTTAGCAGCAAACTCAACCACTGGGCCAGGAAAATTCAAAATTAAAAAAAAAATGGAGAACTGATATTGTTATGCCTGCCATCTTGAGGCAGCTTAGTTCCCTTACTATACAAGTTTGGGTAAACTCCAGAAATGAGCAAATGTTTAAGAAAAAAAATCATCGCTGAAACAGCATGCTGATATTCTAACATCTAAAAATTCAACAAACTATTCGGCATAGATGGTCCCGTCATGAACCACACTAGTCCCAGTTTCCCAGTTATGAACCTGGAGGAAAAGGAGCAGACTCAGAGGCTGTGCCTCCTTGTGGTGGACGGGTACCACTGGATAAGCACAATTGCAAATTCTTGGGGTCATCTTGTCTGGCAAATTGGAACTTAGATCTGGAAGGGTGGGAATAGACCTCAGGGATACCAAGTAGGCAGACGGTGCTGTTGGAAGGGGTAAAGGGATCCAGGGGAGACACAGATGCGTGAACAAGCAGCTTTTACATGAAGCCCCCTGACAGACAAGCAGAACACAGTGACAGGGATTCCAGGAACAGGCCACATTGCCCAACCAGGAGATGGAATTTCTCCAACTCTTGCTTTCCTTTTTTCTCTTCTTCTTCTTTTACATTTTAAAATAGTTTTCTCTGTTTCTACTTCCTTCTTACCCTAGTTATTTGCTGGATACTTGCATGTATTCAGTTTTCTTTTCACAAAGGGACTATGTTGCTACCCTATTCCACTTGTCCTTTTGGGCATGCCCTTACCTCTCTGAGAAGCACTGAGCACCTGGAGAATAACTTAGCAATAGGACTTCCTGAACTGTGTTGAACACAAACCGACTCACCAGGAAACAGGAGAATAAGCTTATCCAGAGTTTCCTCTGCAATGCAATGCTGACTCTATAATAAAACAGGTGAGGCAACTGTGTATCAGCAACTTGGGAATGAGTCTCCATGATTATTCATCTTGATCATGCATCCAGATAAAGCAGAAGAACCAGAGCTCTGCAGCTTTAAGGAAGATCTCAAACTTGGATTTAGATATTTAAACAAAACTGCTTCTTTCACTAGAACCCTCTCTTCCCCACTCACCCCCACCAAAAATTATATCAACTTTCCTGCCCAGAGTCACTCTTGGGGCTGTCTTATTCTGGAATCATGCTATCAGGTACCTCTGATTCCTTTTTATTAGCTTCACATTATAAGATGGAAATACACTTGGCATCCAAGGCTACTATGTTTGGTGCCTACACAGTCCTTTCTTCTTGATAATTGTAATGCAGTTTGTCTTACTTTCAAGGGTGTTTAGTCAGTAAAATGCTTCTGTAATCAAAACTATAATAGAGCTAGCAGATTTTTTCCATTACACTTCATTGATGCCAGCCGGTGTTAAATTGTCTGTTTTCCATGGTCTTTGTATTTTGGTTCTGCTTTTTAACAATGTGTTTTATTTGTCTTATATTAACCTGTATCTAAAGTACTATTAGGATTACTTTTATATTTTGGTACATCCCACAAACAAACCCTTTCCACCTACATAGCTAAGACTACTGGAGGATTACTTACGAAAACAGGCAGAATATAATAGGACATTAAACATAGATTCCATGTGATGACAACACTATAGCTATTTCTGATAGAATAGAGGGTTTGGCAACATTTTTTGCAGAATGAATTTTTAATCAATTGAAGCTGATTCCCAGTTTCCCCTTCTTTTTAAACATACTAGACTACCATCTCTCTTTGTCCTATGACATTTCAATAATCAACTATTAATTCAAGCTAATCCTTCTCTATTTTTTCTTCTCCAGTCTAAATACTTAGTCCTATATTTACCACTAAGTGTGCAAATAAACATTGAGAATCAGTCTCAAGAGTTCTCCAAACATGCTGCTTCCAATTCAGACTATTCAGAGCCAAAAACAGCCTCAGCCCTAGCAACCAGAACTGTTCTCCGTTCAAAATGTTATTTACTTGAAAATATTCTATGTATTTCCAGTCCTCTTATCTCATAGTCATTGCACTTCTTCCCCAAATTTGTCTTTCCATATCCTCAATTTGAGGCTACTTGTCCACATGCCCATTCAGTCTTTGCCCACTCCTACAACTTATTTGCACCCCCATGCATTCTGCCCCCTCATCTCTATCTAATTTTCTCTTCATCTCTTTCCAACATGGCATTATCCACTCTGTTTGGAACTAGGTCTTTGGCAATTATAGAAGGTATGTTATTAACTCTGCCAGCTGCTTCATCACCTGCACTCACTGCAAGCCAATTTTAAAAATCTTTGTTCTTGGATACTTTGCTTATTCTAATTACAGAGCTTATCATAGAGCTGCAGCAAAATTCTGCTTTGACAATGATCTTTCCTCCTTACTTCCATAATACAAAGAGCAAAATGTGTTTTAGACACCAATCTCCAGGCTTCACATGAGTAATTTTTTTAGCCTATGTTAATTTGTGGCATAACTTAGTACACTCAAGACTTTTCTTCTGGACCATCCTAAAAATATGTAAAAAACTGTTTGAGATCTCTGGACATTGAAGAAAGTAGAATGACATATAATACTTGCTATTTTTAAGTAGGGAAATCAGAGAAACAAGTTTTGCTAGCTACTTCTCCCCCGCCCCAAACTTTTTTTTTTTGTTTTATTTAAGAGACATATTTTCTCTCATATCTTTTCAACCACATATAATTGGACAGGAAACTGAAGGAGGTAACAACAACAGTTGCTGTTGAGGAGGAGCTAATTTACAGTGTGACACAGGAGGCAACCGAGGAGGGGGCACTACTGAGAAACAGACTAGTCTCTTCCAGGCATTGCTGAACCCAGAAGTTGGTTTACTTACTGGCTTCTTTCTAAAATCAAAAAGATTTCTATATCTCCCGTCATACTAATACTACTGATTAGTATACTAACTATGTTTAATATATGGTCAGCCTAACATATTTGCGGGTTGCACATTCGTGGATTCAACCAACTGCAGATGGAAAATATTTTGAAAAATATGTAACTGTATTAAACATATACAGACTATTTTCTTGTCATTATTCCCTAAAAATACAGTATAACAAGTATTTATGTAGCATTTACATTATATTTCATATTGTGAGTAATCTAGAGATAATTTAAATTATAGGGGAGAATATGTATAGGTTATATACAAATACTATATCATTTTTGATCTGGGACTTCAGTATCTTCAGATTTTTATCTCCAGATAAAAGGAAGCCCTGAAATAAATCCCCTGAAGATACTGAGGAATGACTACTAATTCTTTCTATTCATTTCTCCATGTATACATACAATCATTGCTTCATACATTCATTTACTCATTTAACAAATATTTACTGGAGTCCCTACGCATGAAGTTATGCTAAATGTTAAAACCATACAAAAAGACCAAGCCATTGCTCACAATAAGCCTTAAGTTATTAGGAGAACCAGATAAGTAAAGACACACTAAAATATGAGATAAGTACTATAAGCACAATAAATGGAGCTGGGAGTAGGTGACTTTTCAAAAGTCTTAAAAGAGGCAGAATTGCTAAATATATGACAAGGCCTTCACCTGCATACATTTTTACTGGGGTTTCTACACGAAAAGTGACTTACCATTGCACAAATCTGTATAGTAACTAAGTTTTTTAAAAGGTATAAGTGATACTTGGAAGTATTGTCACTGTGAATTATTGCATGACATTATACGCCATGAATACATGTCAAGCACAGTTACTAAAATAGCCATTGTGAGGCAATCACTGTAATTACCTTTCCATGGCCAGACATATTTACAATATTCAAAGAAAAATCAAGTTGGTCTAACAAGATTGCAAAACTGAAAAAAATAGAAGAAAATATTCTCTCTTAATTGAGCATTGATAAAGGAGAAAGGGAGTTGAATAGCAATTTGGTCACAAAGATAAGGGCTTTTTTTGTCTTTATTTTATTTGTTTCTTTCCTGGAGGAAGGTCATATGTTTAGAAAAAACTAAGAAAACTGATGAAAGAGACAGAGGATTACCTTTATTTCATCTGAAAGAGAAAAGATCAAATCTGGAGACATTATTTCAGTCGTTCCCTGAGAATAACCTTCTCTTTCTGGAGAGGGATTGCCTATCTAGTGAAACTGAACTGAAAGACATAAAGAAGCCATGCCATCAGTAATTTTTAATTAACGTTGACAGCAAGAAAAAGTGCAGTAAGGGCTTTAAAGGCAGGTGTCTTGCCAAAAGCTAAGGGTCAACTGAGATGCTAGGACTTTCCAGTGCCTGAAAACACTATGTAAAGACAATAGAGAATATCATGACTAGACAAAAAGCTAAGCTTAATAAGTGAGAATTAAACAATTGTTGGCATGTATTCTTATTTATATTTTTTATATTTCTGTCAATTTTGCTCAATACTGAATCTTGCTTTAAACATATGTACAATTTAATTATTGTGTAATTAATTAATGGAGCCCTTCGGCTTCTACTCCAGGTAAGCAAGCTCAGATGCTATTAATATAACTCTCTGGACGTCCTTGTCTCTCCAGATTTCAGGATGTCAGTTTGCCTTATGACCTCATTTCTTTGATGGGGCCAAGAAAAGTCATTGATTTTCAATTTGTCTAGCTTTTTTTCTTATTGTAGGACAGGAGTGATGGAGTTCCAAGCTCTTTTCATGTTGAACCAGAAACCTAATTTCTGTCAAAGGTTTTAAATAAAGAAATGGTATAATTCTATTTGTCTTTTTAAAAGATCACTCTAGTTTGCAGAGTAGATTGAAGGTGAGCCACCATGGAAGCAAGGAGATGGGTTAAAAGGCCATTATATTCAATGACTTTAGTAAGAAATGTTGCTGGCTTCTAATGACAAAATAATCTGATGTTGCTGAAGAGATGTAAGGGACAAGAACATACTATATGTTGAGATCAGAGAACTGAGATACTCTGGATAGATGAGTTCTGTGTCACGATCTTGAAGTTTTTCAGTATGAGTATAGAAATTGGTTTGGAGAGAGACATGGAAGCAGAAGAGAAATGCTTCAATAAATGAAGTAGGGCAACAGAAAATTGTTGGATGACAAAATGAATTAAGTAGCATATTCAAATAGCATGAAACTGACTATAACATAATTACATCTATGTGTTTATTTTTCATATCAAGCTGGATGTATAGTGGTCTTACAGTAAAGTGGAGAGAGACAGAGACACCTATTCCTGTTGTTACCTTTAAGCACACAGGGTAAGGGAAAATAAGCAACTTCTGCTTGATAAAAATGAGGAAAATGTGGAGAACTCTAGCTTTCAGAAGAAAATACAGGAGAACCCTAGGTTTCAGTTAACGACCTGCAGGTGTAGGGGAAGTATAGAAAGATTAAGACTACAGTGGAGCTTATTGACCTTCGAATAGGTTCTGAAATTCAGAAGTCTTTTGAGAAAAGTGGAGAGTGTAACATTTGATTGGATATAGGAAACAGAATGCCAAAAGGATGACTACAGTAGGGAATTAGTTGTTTTAGAGTATGTGACAAGCAAGAAGAACAGGGATATGGGCAAGGTGATTATAACTCAGCAACGCTTACAGTTTATGTACCCTCTGACTTCAAATTCCTCTGAGTTTTACCAAAGCATGGGTGACTTCAAGGAGTCATAGGCCAGGCAGATGGCAGCTGTGCTAGGCAATTGTAATTAGCATGCATCTGTAATTCGATAGCAAGCTACAGTGGGCAGAGACAAGAGGCTAGACATATACTCACAAAGGTGTGGGCATTAAGAGTGGGCAGAGGTACTGGAGCATTCTATCGCTGGACTTCCTAAGGGGTAGTTCAGGGCCTTAATGCATACTAACTTCTCTCAACAATAACAGAGTCCGCATTTCTGTGAAAAAGGACCTGAGTGTATCAATTGCATTAAAAGTGAGGGTGTAAGGTAGCTTGAGAACATACCTTAAGACTGCATTTTAGCGCAAGCACATTAATTTTATCAATTTTATATTTATTGTTATGGGAAAGTTGGTAAGGCTTCCTAAATCTCTCTTGGTACCCTGACATTGAAAATTAATAAGACCATTCATCTTGTGGCAGCCACCAAAATTAAACAAATATAAACATTTGCTCTTTTTCTCTTGCTGTTTTTGGCTTGTTATATCCTTCCCCAAATCCTCAGGTATGTATGGCCTTTTTTCAGACTTCCCTCACTTAAACTGGTCTCCCTACTGTCCAACCCCTTACCTGGAGCATCACTCTTTGGGCCTCTCTCCCTGTGTTCATTAGTTCTCCAGCTCTTGAGAATTGGGACTTTTGTATATATTCAATGCAGAATTCTCAATAATAGAATTTTAGGTCTTGCTAATAAGAAAGATTTTGCCTTATTTTAACTTTGTTTTCCCAGGGGGGCAAAAAAACAGCATTACCTGCAGAGAGAAGTGTCTGATGGTAGCATAGCACTAATTATAATTCAGTACATTTATTATATTAGAACAGAAACATTTCATAGAAAAAAGGTTTTTTGTTTTGTTTTGTTTTTGAGATGGAGTCTTGCTCTGCAGCCCAAGCTTGGAGGCAGTGGCATGATCTCAGCTCACTGCAACCTCCGCTTCCCAGGTTTAAGCAATCCTCCCACTTCAGCTTCCTGAGTAGCTGGAATTACAGGCATGTGGCCACCATGTCTGGCTAATTTTTGTATTTTTAGTAGACACGGGGTTTCACCATGTTAGCCAGGCTGGCCTTGAACTCCTGACCTCAAGTGATCCATCCACCTCAGCCTCCCAAAGTGTTGGGATTACAGGCATGAGCCATCTCGCCCGGCCTTTTTTTTTTTTTTTAATTATTTTTGCAATAGTTGTTTTCTAGGGGTTCCAGAGCTACTATTTAAGCGTGGGATCATGGATGAATTACACCTACATTAAGATTTCTTAGAGAATCCAGAACAGTAAATTATTTGCTGACAAGTCTATAAGCAAAAAGTTCCAATCAAATGTTGCAAAAAGTAAATTTTTATTTTTATGGATGTTTCCATTATTTAACTAGTATGTAAAATAGTCATTCATTTTTAATCATTCCATAGGAGAATTCATATAGCTCCCAGGAAACACAGACATAAGAAGTATATTTTCCTTATGAAAATTTTTTTCTGCTAGAGCCCTTCTAAATGACAGTCAAGTATAAATGTGAATTGAGCAAAAGAGTTATCTAGAGTCCCTTTTAGCATATAATTTAGAAGTCAACTGATCAATTGGTTTCACGTTATATTTCAAACACAATAATGTCACTACTGCAGAATTATACAGTTCATCAGAAAGACCCTTCAAAAACTTTATACAAATTTGAATAACAGTGTACAATCCTTTGACAGCAACGTCTGGCGGGCTACCTGGTGGATACAATGCGAATAACTCTGGCTAAAATGGCAACAGTGCAACGTTTGTTTTTTATTCCATTCATTAAGTTCATATATGAAAACTTCAAAGAATAGGTTTCCAAAGACAATAATGACCTAATCTAAAAGCCAAAAAAGTAAAAGTAAATTAAATAATGGGTTGTTGATAAAAGAATATATTCTAGGCTACTGTATTAGTTTTCTATCACTGCTATAATAAGCCACCACAAACCAAACAGCTTAAAATGACATAAATTTATTACCTCATAGTTCTGTAGGTCAGAAGTATGGATTGGCTCAGACAATTTTTCTGCTCCAGTTACAGAGGCCCAAATCAGATTGTCTGCTGGCTGGTTTCTCAACAGGGGACTCTGGGAAGAATCTATAGTTGCTTGCAGCTGAAGGTCTGAAGTCCTCCTTTGCTTGCTGGCTGCTCCTAGCTGAGGCTTCTCCTAGTAAGGCCTCTCTCCAGCCCTTGCTCATGGGCCACTATTGCCCAGGGCTGGCAACAACAGGGGATCCTTCTCATGATTGTAATATCCCTCCTTCTCTTTCTGCTAAATCTCTCTTTTGCTTCTAGCCAGAGAAAGCTCTCAGCTTTTAAGGGTTCATGTGATTATATTGTGCCCACCTGAGTCATTCAAGATAATCACCCTATTTTAAGATGTGTAACATTGATTACACTTGCAGACTCCCTTTTGCCATTTAGTGTAAGATAGTCACAGATTCTAGAATTTGGGGCATGAATATCTTTGGGGATCATTATTTAGCTTACCACACCCACTGAAAATAAGAGAAAAATGCAAAATTACAAAATAAAAGATCTATGAAAAGAGTGTTACACATGGTACTTTTTTTATAAGAAGTATTCTCTGAAAGAATAGCAAAATAATTTATGACATATCAAACTACAAAATATTATGTGGCCCTTAAAAATATCTTATCTTTAAAGTGTATTTAACCATATCAGATTTACATAATATAATTTAAGCAAAATTAAAGTATGTATATTTTAGAAAACATATTTCACCTGTATATATATATACATATATTTGCAGATATATTTGTCTTTATATGCATATTCACATATTTATAAAATGAATATTCACATTTTATATATATTCACATATATATAGAAGTATCTATATATGTGCATAATTTATACAGGACATATATAAATCTTTGGTAGTGTATACCAAAGATACCAAAATATTAGCATGGCAATCTCTGGGTAATAATATTATGCTTCTTTCTTCACATTTTCTATGAGCATCATCACATTTTCCAAAACATTATAATCAGAAAATAAAACTCAATATTTAAAAAAGGGAATAGTATCATACATGCTTTCTCATATAAAATGGAATTTTCTGACAAGAGAATTCAATGAGTCTTACACTCTTTACTGGTCTCAGTTTATTATGAATGAACTACAAAAGGAAATGTGGTACCCTGAGACAGGAACAGGGCTAGAGGAGGACAATTCATACCTTATTGAGAGACAAATCACAGAAGGCGATTGAGGGTTCACAGAAGCTTCTCTACTAGGTAAAATATTTTCTGACTTCCATTTGAAGTCTTTTCTAAGTGTAGTATAATAGGGTAGCAGCCTTTTTTTTGTATCTTGATTTTACATGTCTGAATGTAAAGAATTCTAAGATATGTTGCACATCAGGGTCTTTAGAAGTGTTTCAAGTCCCCACGTGGTGTTCCAAGACCCTTACACCACCAGATTTTCTGATGCAACATCATTGGCGTTCTCTGTTGATGAGGAATAAAGCAAAGGAAGAGACAATAATTCCCTCACCCTGGACGTCAAGTAACTCTAGATTATGAGTTAGAAGAAGGAGCTAGAACCCTTTGACTATAAAAGAAAAATTTCCCGTGCTTCTCATGCATTCCCAATGTCGAAGACATTTCAAAAGGATTTCTATTATCACCTTTTTCTTTGAACAGTAAATCATTACCAATGCAGTTGAGCTCAATTCTAAGCCCTGTTTCATGCCTTTATATTTTATTAATATCAATGAGTCTACTTTAAGTGGGGAACACTGACATAGGTCATTACAATGGGTTTTTACTGTTATTGCTCCATTTTTCTGAATTTCACTAAGAAGACAGTCACTACCCTTTGGTCTAAACAGTACTCTTCTTCCCAGAAGGGAAAAGTTCACAAAAAATTGAGTACTTTTAGGTATGATAGGTAGGCCACATGCACTAAGACTCAAAGACAGCAGAAAAAAGGATCAGAGAATTTGATAATTCTCTATCTTTCCTTAGCAAACCTGACCCACAGAATTGTGGTACGACTGTAACTTTACGTGTTTATTTTTACTTGATTTCAATTTTTAAGGGAGGCGAGCATTGCATAGAAGTTAATCCTTCAATAGAATGCATTGCCACAAACTGAAATGGTTTCTTAGTCACATGCTACAAGTTGAAGACTTCTTATGAGGGTCAAGGTACTAAAGCCCATCATAAGGATCAAGAGAATACTTTGTACTTTGCTGGCATATGTAGCCAAGATTGATTGAATAGTTTTCTTATTTCTCCACTTCATATTATACATGTCTCTGGTTGTAGCTTAATGGTTCTAAAACAAGTCCTAGAAATTGGAATATTTTTATAATCTCTTCTTGTGGATTGATGACTCTCATACTTCAGTATGTATAAGGATTACACGGAAAAAATTATTTTAAAAAATGCCTCCAGGGCTCATTCCTCAGATATTCTGTGTTAATAAGTCTGGGACAGTCTTCTAAATCTGTATCTTGATGCATGTTCAGAAACTATGTAACCGTATAAGAAAGGAATAAAATAGAGGTCCTTTAAAAACTTGGATGAAAATAAAAACATTATCTGGAATATAAATATGAAGGCAACACCTGATGCACCAGAGACTGATAGTGAAACTCTTCAAACTTCTCACTCTTTCTCACTGTCCCGTGTCTCCTTTCAGGGAAAGAATACCCTGACCAGCAAGCAGAAGTGTTTGTTCCCCTTGACAGTTGTGTGTCTTATTGGCATTCTTGGTTGTAGTCTATCTCTGTGAGGCCACACAATGTGAACCTGTTTCTTAGAGATGGATCTGTTTATAGTGGGTTGATCAGCTGATATCTGGCCTTGAGTATGCAGAAAATGAGCAGAGCCTAGACCACAATGAATAAATCAAGGTATTGAATATCCACCCTGGGGACTCTGGGTTGGCAGCAGGCCTGCCCATGGAGTTATCCACTGTATTGCAACTTTGGGGTCACTTTTCTTGATCTTCCACAATTGCTTTTTTTTTCAGATTAATGGAATTAATGGTCGTTTTGTCATCTGAGAGCTTCTGAGGGCAGAGACTAACTATGCTTCATTAATTTCTCTGTCCTCAAAGCCTAGCACAGGGTTCAATAAATAGGTGTTGAATAAATGACTGGAAGCAGGGAAGACAACTACAGAAAGAGATAAGAGAGAGAGAGAAAAAAAACTAGTGCCTTAGGAAGAAATGACTTCATCCTTTACTCCATCCTGATTTACCCCAGACTAAATCCTGCATTTTATTACTCTTCACTTGTTTCTAGTGACATAACCCCCTCAAAACCTTTTTCAAAAATAGGACAGGACATTTGGTTTATGCCATGAAGAAACCCTTCTATATATTTCATATCTGTTGTTTTAAAATCTCTTTTATTTCCTCTTTAGAAATCCACTGATGAGGTAGTGTTAAAGAGCTCAGAATAGAACTGCTTTTTGAAGTCTAATATATGTTCTGTTTGAAAGAACTGCTTCTGGTGTCTAAGAATAATTAACAACACACTTTAATTTATGAAAGTCTTTGCCCAGAGGTCCTCATCTGTGGGAGGGATAGAGAGAGAACCAAAGACTGGTAGGCTAATGGAAAACTTTCATGTCCTTGTGCTTAGCTCTGGTGTAGCATCTGGGAGTGGTATCGAAGAGGTCAGAGGAAACGCTGCTGAGCTCTGTTTTATATATGTGCATTATAAATTGTAACCTCCATATTTTAGATCTTAGACAACCCTCTCTCCCCTCCAGTGGGTATGATTTAAGAATAACAGTGTGACATGAACATTGAGATGAGAGGATACGTGAATAAAGAAAAAGGATGGTGTTGAATAATTAAAAGGAGGGGGAGAGGAGAGGAGGAGAAAGAGACTGACTCATGGGGGAGCAAAATGTATTCATCTTTTCTTTGTCTTTTCCATACACTGTACCTCTCAACCAGGAAAGCAGATGTCTTGATTCTTAAAGAAAATAAAGGTGGCAATTAAATACTGACAAGAAAAATAATAAAAATAAGAAGAAAGAAAAGAACAGAGAAGGAAAGACCGCCTCCTCCCTCAACTGTATACAGCGATCCTGACATCTCCTCTCTATTTATCAACATAATAAAAGTTGGAGAATTCTCTTAAGGGCCTGGGCTGTGGAGATTTTTGAACCACCTGATATATAGGTCTGGTTCCTTTTCACAACCTTCTCACCTGTCCATCTTCCACTCCCCATCCATCCCTATGTGTCAGCTGCTGGTCTTCGGTGAACCCACAAGCCCCACTGCAGCAGTTCCATTAGGCCACTCCTACACATCTAACTGGCCCCGTCTCATGACCACAGCCCTGCTATCTGCTGCCAGCTGCCTCTGTCAATCTCCCACTGCCCCTGACTGTCTTTGAATACTGTGCCACCCAACCTTCGATCACCCCCACTATTTACTATCCGCATGCCTCCCTACATTGTGAGTGCTGAGGAAAAACGCCAAACCAAAAGATCTGGTCTTGAAGGACATTTTCTGTGATTATTTCAACTTCCACTTCCCAGTAAGACTTTTATTGTATGTTACCTACAATTATGCTTCAAACAGCTCTTCTCAACCTCCCTTGCCATAAAAAGATGTTCTAGAGTCTTGGTTAACATTAATTCCATTTCTTCCTACTATGACCAGGCCTTGGTGTGGCCCTAACTGCTCTCTAACTTCATTACCTCGGAACAATCTCCCTCCTGTCCTCACTAGGGTATTGAGTTCGCCAGTGAGCCCCAGTCTACAGGCATAGACCCGAAATTGAAGCAACATATTTCATTGCTGCCCCATTTCTGTGTACTTCCAATGTGCTACCTTCTTCTTGGCAACCTAGTTTTCTCCTGAGTCACACACATGCAAAGTGCATCTGTACCTCAGGTCTTTGAAGTCACAAAGCCTTGACTTTAAGCCTTTGCTTTTTCCCACAATAGCTTTACCTTGCTAAGTCATACACCTCTTTGAGCCTTGCATTGCTGATTTGTAAAGTGAAGACCATGATGACCTCATAGTCATGTCACTGTCAAATAGTGAGAGCCTTATATTCCTTCTCTAGCACTTCAGTACCGAACACAGAACTAAGCACATTACAGGTTCTCAACAAACTAGGGCAGTGGGTAATAGTGCATGGCTCACCAGTGAGAAATGACCTGAACAACAAAAAGAAATAGGATCAAATATAGAAAGAGGGGAGACATTGCTAAGAAGGTTGAAGCAGCTCTTTATGGATATTTAAAAAAATAAAAGATCTGCAAAGTAAAAGGCTCTCTAGTAATCCTGTTGTGAACGCTCCAAGTAAAAAGGCTTACATTAAAGTAGCATAAAATGAGTCAAAGGAAAGTTTCTAGTGTTTCGTGAGAAATTCACAGAGAAGTTAGGGAGGCCATGCTGCATCTATTATCTGCCTTTCAATTTTATTCTTCTTACCTTTTAATGGGGAGTAGGCCCATTTTCTACATTTTCTCTTTAGTTTCAAATGAGGCAAGAACAACACTATGACAAAGGAGATGCTACCCCTCTGCTTTCTGGTTCCCACAGCTTTTAAGCCTATAATTCTGCCTTTGATCACTGCATAATTATCTTCATTATATTAGATCATCATATTATCCTCATTTCATAATGAGGAAACTGAGGTTCAGAAAGATTAAGTGACTCACCTTGTTAAGAAGTCCTCTTAAGACACTAATGTGATTAAATCCCTGTTCCTACAATAGGCCAATTGTAAAAAGCTCCTGCATCAGGCTTGAATGACAGAGAAGTACAATGCAAAATCACTGTTAAGAAAAAGCATCTAGTTGACAGTCCTAGACAGTATCTATTTTTGTACCCCAGAAACATAAAGTTCCTTCTGTTGGAGTGGCTGAAATATGTAAATTCAAGACCAATCTTTGGGGTGGTATGTACCATACTCTTTTACATTTTTTTCGCATCTAAATTAAATAATTAGCTACACCTCAGCTGTGACAAGTTGAGGGATCTTTAATGTGGAGTTTTCAGAGAGAGGAGCTGACTAAAATCTAGAAAGACCAAGGCTGGGAACTAAGCTTTTCAGGTTTGACCTTACAGGGATTAACCAGTTGACCAGTGCTCAAGGTTCTAGGTGGTCTGAAGCTAATCAACAGACTGTGATCTGAGTGGTAAGACATGACAATAGGCTAAGTATATGCAGAAAATGGCAATATTTGGCATCAAAAGTATAGATAATCCAATTGTCAGGGAGCATCAGTCACTTTCATGCAGGATCACAGAAGGAAAGGAAAGGCCCAGATCTTGGAAAACAAGAGGTTGGAAAGAACCAGAGAGATTAGAGATTATCAGGACCCCAGGGAGAGATCTGATGCTTAGAAGACTTCAATAAAAGAAAGGAAATGGCATTATGAATTACAAAATTGATGTACTTTATTAGTAATAATATAAATTAGTAAGGACGATGTCAGAGGCACTGTTTTAGGCATTTTGCCTATAAAATTCAAATAAATTCTTCCTTTCAGTCACTATAAAAATAGTTTATAAGAGGTGGTAGAGTGAAGTTTTAAAAGCCACGAAGTGAATTTTAGTAAAATAAGGATAAAAAATTACCTATGATGAAGGACTTCAAAGAATATCTGGCAAATATGAAGCAATGAATGAATGCTAATTCCTAGTTACTAAAAATAATAAGTAAATATTAATAAAAAAAGAAACTGAGATGCAAAATTCTTAAGAAACTTGCCCACGGTTACATTACTACTAATTGGTTTGAGCCAAGATGTGAACCCATCTTTGTCTGATTCCAAATATTGAGTCCTTTAACCCTGGACTACAGAGCAGAAACCCAGTCATATCTATGAGGCACACATAGGGTCGTAGTGAGCAGTGGTTGCAGCTCGGTGGACATAGAGCCAAAAACATCATCCAGGCATGTAGTGATTCAGGCTTTGAATATAAAAAAAAAGGTTTCAATCATGTTTCAAGAATGGTGTTCCTATTACCAGTAAGGTTTTGATTAGGCTAGGCTCTGGATCTGGATATAGCTGACCTGCTGGGTGAAGTTTAGCAGTATTGGTAGCTAAAGGGACATGAACCATTAAAAAATGTCTGAAAGATATATGGGGAAAGGGTAGTGGTTCCAGATTTTACCTGGCAGATAGTGGGGGTGGGAGATTTGGAAAAGATTAGGGAATAATTTTATACATTTAAAAGCAAACTCTTTAAGCCATATTTTTGAATTATTTCCAAGTACAGATTATGAACACACTCCTGGCCTATTGTCCAGTCTTCAGTCTTACGTTGAATAGTCGGCACAAAAATGGCCACTAATAATGACCACTGTTAGGGCTGCCCACTAACTCCTACTGATTTAATAGTTTAGGACCTTTTATGATCAATGTTTTGTCTCCAAAATTTTGCATCAAATATTGCAAACACTTTGACCTGTGTTTATGGATACCTTTACTACAGCATTGTACCTAATCTGCCAGAGGCTTTTCATTCATTAATTGTGAGAGTTAAGGTGGTATACAGAAAGAGGTACTTCCAGCACTGTCTCTTAAATGGCCAGAAATATGAGTGTATGTGAAAGCTAGTACATTAAATCAGGCATTAAAACAACCCAAACAAATATTTAAAATACCCCAAAATGTAAAAAAATTGCTCTTTATGCTTCACTAACCCACTTTATATGGTGTTAGACACAATATCAGCATGTAAGAAAAGAAGACAACACACGCAAACAATTCTGTGATTGTTCTGATACTTACATATTTTTTTCCTTCTGCAAGTGAACCTTGCTCAAACTCTCTTGAGATGGAAGTTTAAAAAGTGACACATTCATTAACACACACACACACACACACACACACACACACACACACCCCTTCCATCCATCACCTCCCATGGAAATTTGAATAATTAAATAAATATTAAAAACGTGCAAAACTGTATTCTTATATCAAATTAGATAAAAGTTGAATTGTTTCAGATAAAGAGTTTCTCTTTTTTCTTTTTTAAACAATTCTTGACAGACTACCATTAAATCAGGTGAGCACTGCAGCAAGTAATGATATTTAAAATTAAAGAAACTTTTCCATTTCACTGATGCCAATTTTAACATTTTACAATAGGTCTTTTTGGCAGTCTAATTATTATTCCAATCCTATTAACAATTTATGTATAGAATTACCTTCTAATGATTACTAAAATTTTTCATTTGGAATTGTATCACTTCATTAATCTTGATTACTTATAATTAATCAAAAAAGTCTTTTTCTCACATTTAGGTTTCAGAAATGTTTATCTATACTTATTTTATGAATACTTGACTAAATCTATGTTGAAATTTTTTAGAAAATCTGGAAGCTCAATAGGCTTCCTCAGCTGAGAGATGATATAGCTTAATGGTTAAAATCTGACTCTGGAGTCAGGCTATTTAGATTCAAGACCAGTTCATTCCAGCTGAGATTGATGGAGCAAGTTATGTAGCCTCTGTGTACCTATTTATTTTAATCTATAAAACTGCAATCATAGTAATAAAACCTAACTCATAGAGTAATTATATAGATTTAATAAAATAATCTGTGTAACACAGAACAGGGCCTGATACATAGTAAATTTTCAATAAAGTTATATTTTATATTATTTGTAACATAGAAACAATTAGTAAATTGTGGTGTGTCTTGGCCTTTGAAATCAGACAAGTATGAGTTTTAATTCTTGCTCTTTGTTCTTCTAGCTGCATGGTATTATGCAAGTTATTTAATATTCTTGGATTCAATGTTCTTCTAGATATAGACATGGATATACACATGTAGATATAGATATTAAGACTACTCAACTTTGTTAGGAGATTAAATAAAAATACAATTAATATGTTTATCATTGGTTATATAGTGGTTATAATTTATAAAAACTTTTTAAATTTTACATAAAGCTAAAAAGTATATAAAATGCTATCTGGAATCATTTATAATGTTAGATATTTTTCTTGTAATATAGAGAAAAATGCCTATAAGATGTCCAGTATTCATTCATCATATTTGAATGGCTACTATATACCAGGCACTGTGCTAACAACTGAAGATAAAGTATTACAAAGCAGAGACCCCATCTTCCAGGGAGCTCTAGGACTACAAAGCTAGGGAAATAAATAATAGACAATAATGAAACAGCCTATATGCTGTAATAGAGGCATTGGTAGAAGGTAATTGAAGACTAGAGGAGGAGCAAAAAAGCTTCTTACACACGTGGGGTCTAAGCTCATTCTTGAAAAAGTAGGTGTTACCTAGATAACAAATAGAGAAAGAAGAGTCCAGTTAGAGAGAACAACTTATGTAAAAGAACTTAGAAATCATTTTGTCAAGCCTGCAGGTGTGGTGCAAAGCAAACAGTCTGAGTTGAAGAGTCAACAACAAGTCATTAGAAGCACACAAGAAATGGGGAACCTGGGAAAAGTTCATCCAGGGGACTTATATGAGTTGATTTGAGTTTAACAAAGATTACTTGTGTAGGAAATGGGAAGTGGCCAGAAGGAATTAAAAAAATGAGACAGAAAACTTGGTCAGGAAGTTGTATGTAGATAGGAAGGTAGCAAATTATTGAACTCACATTATATATATTTATATTTGTATTTATATATTAATTATAACTTAAAATTGGGAAAATATCCAAAATGCTTCACATGATGCTCATCATAAGCTTTCTTCAATGTTAGCAAATATTCTTTAAAACAATGTTTTACATTCATTTCATGCGATCAGAATCCAAGGAGTACTGGAGTGGATGCTACGACCCATACAGAGTAGGTATGCAACAGAAGCCCCACTGTGAAGAAGCTGCACGTGGTCCCTTCCCTCAAGGCATTCACAGACTAGAGGGAAGTACAGACAAGTAAATTGTGGATCATATTTCAGTGTTCAAAGTGCTCTATGGTGGCCCAGTGAATTGCCACAGGAGCACATAAGAGGATGGCTCCCAAAGGTCTGGATGCAGAGAAGACCACATAGGAATGGATGTTTTACAGACAACTGAAGGATTAGTAGGATCTAGCCTAAGGAGGCCCGAAACAGAAAAGTGTTACAGGCAAATTTACATATGACGGTACAAAGGACAGAGAAGATTTGGCCCCATCTAGGAAAGGAAGAGTTTGGTATGTCTGTGGTACGTCTGGAGTATGGAGGAGGTTGACGTACAAAAGCCAAGGCAGGAGAGATAAGGAGGAAGCACATCACCAAGGGCCCAGGCATCCTGTTAAAGAAATGGGACACAAACTTTTAATTTTAATAATTTCATCCAGGCTACTTTATTACGAAAGGGAATGTTGACTGTCTGGGGATGCCAGGTACCTAAGCAGAAATCTAAATGACTAGACCAGACTACAATCCCCAAGAACTAGAAATGGGATTTCTGTCACGTCATCAATAACCAGCACAGTGGCAGCTAATAGTAGAAACTCACAGGTTTTTTAATAATTGAAAGAATTGAAAAAAACTAGATGCCCAAGGGAAAGTTCATTGAACGAATTGAACTAATTTTCTAATTTTCTTTTTCTTTCTTTTTTTTTTTTTTTTTTTTTTGAGTCGGAGTCTCTCTCTCTGTCGCCCAGGCTGGAGTGCAGTGGCGCGATCTCTCACCCCACTGCAACCTCCACCTCCGGGTTCAAGCAATTCTCCTGCCTCAGCCTCCCGAGTAGCTGGGACTACAGGCACCCACCACCAAGCCTGGCTAATTTTTTTGTATTTTTAGTAGAGACGGGGTTTCACCGTGTTAGCCAGGATGGTCTACATCTCCTGACCTCGTGATCCGCCCGCGTCGGCCTCCCAAAGTGCTGGGATTACAGGCGTGAGCCGCCACGCCCGGTTGAATTGAACTAATTTTCTATTACTCGATAGTGCTTTCTCATTTCTCTTCTATTTTAAATCATGCTGAAATGAACATCCCTGAATTTAAATCTTAAACTACATCTAATTTACTTAAAACAGCATCTTAGTAATGGAATGACTGTTTAATAGTATAAATATTTTTAAGACTCACAATACACTACACTGAAAAAAGAGGACATTCCAAATATGCTCTAACCAGCAAATACTTGAAAGTGCCTATTTCCTCACATCATCTACACAGTTGGACATTTGATAATGATCTGCAATTATTGCATAAAATCCTGGGGAAGGGGATTGTGTCTTTTGATCTATGTCTATTTCTTTTGTCGAATTCCTGAAGTCATGTCCTGCACCCAGTACAAAATGGTTTATTGATTTTACTTGTAATTTGTAATGAAAATATTTTGGCCACAGCTTTACTTGTGAGTCAGTTTTTTCTAAATCTCATAATACATTAATCTGCTGCTTAAATTGTCATCTTCTTTTAAAAAGATGTATAGTCTTGTATTTTGTGGTTCGAGTAAAATCAGTATATCTTTTCCTCTAAGCATAGTATTTCTACTTAATTGTAAGCATACTTTATGAATTAATAACATCATCTCTTTGTCTTATATGTTTCAAACATATTTTCTGTTCATTTGCCTTTCATTTGAATTCATAGAAACTTTTGACATAAATTAATATTTTTGCTATAAAATTTTATTCCTCCCTGCTTTCTATAGTTTATTTTTGTGACTTCATGGGATTAATGCTCCACTTATTATATCACATTTTATTTTTAATTAGTAATAAAAACATTTAAACTAGGGCTTTCTTAAGAGTCAAGTTTGGATTTTGGTTAAACTTTCTATTTTTTTATTAGCAGTATATTCAAAACATATGTACTATAGTGATTAAGAGCTAGAGTTAGGTAAGCTCAAGAATTGAAATTCTGGTCTCTCAATAACTGTGTGACCTTTAGTTAGCTCCTTAGCCCTTCTATGTTTTAGTTTTCTCATCTAAAAAAAGTAGTGATGATAGTATCTACCTTGCAGACTTTGCAAATACTTAGGAAGGATCTGCCACGTTGAGTCGCTGATGTAAGTGCTTGCAGTATAGTGACAAAGAAGCCAGACCACATTCCTGTCCGCATGAAGGTTACATTTTACTGGGCAATTGACAGTAAACAAATGAACATATAAATATATCATATAATGTTGGGGAGTAAATTAGTGCTTGGGGGAAAAGTATGTCATTATAAGGCTGTATATGGGGCCCTGGGGCTGCTATTGTAAATAAATTGTTGTGAGTTTATAATATACACTATATCTAAAGTACTTTCCCCAGGGCCTGACATATAATGGATGCTTAAAAAATATTAGCAGTTATTTATTAATTACAATTTAACTTTCCTCTTAAACTCTCAAGTTATTCATAAGAGTATTTTTTGGTGTATTTGTTTCAATTCCAAGTGACAAGATTATATAGGCATCATTGAAAATAAAATAAAATTTTTAAAGTTTACTTTTTTTAAGCAGAAAATATGGCTTCTAAATATTCTGCATTTTGAAATTTTCGAGTATTTACTGTGGCCTAACACAGAAATTATTTTTAAAATAGGCTGGAGGCTAAAAAGTTAATATTTTCTGTCTAAAGATTATCAAATTAGGTTATCTATATATTTATCTTTTATCTATCAAGTTACTCATTTGACAGATTAAATTCCATTAATTATATTATTTAGATCATCATCCTTTATTATTATTTGATCAATAAAGGGCTAAAAGAAACATGCTATTGCCACTTTCTTTTTGTTTATCTAAAAGTTTGATTTATGCATTTTAATATAATAATGTTTAGGGCATAAATCTTTATGATTCATATCTTTACTGTAGATTGTATCATTTATCAGAATAAAGTGACATTCTATTCACTTTACTGTCTCTTGTTTGGGTTTAATAGTCAGGGAGAAGTCCTTGACGGAAATTTTGCAGTGGAGTATATACAAGGCTATTAGTAAAGAAATGAACAATTTACTTTTTTCTTTTTAAAATTTTAAGTTCTTCTATTTTTGTGTTTGCCTGATATTACTAATTTATACTTTTATTTTTTCAGTGTCATTGTGCTTTAAGTGCATCTCTTTTAAGCAGCATAAAATTTGATTTTTCTTACCATAATTGAGAGCCTTTTAGAAGCTTTTTTAATACTGTGCTGGTTCTATATTACTGTGTTTTTTTTTTCTTTGTGAGTTGGGATGTCGTCAACCTGTTTTTAAATTCAACTAACACTTTCCTTAAGTAAAAACACACCTACGTGCATACGTGAACATGCATTTTTCTATAATCACTATCGTGAAATAATCCATGTTTATTCTTACTCTTCAGACTCTTCTTGTTCCTTCTGTCTGCTTCAAAACTAACCTAACCTCTCTCATGTCCAATGTGTGCTAACTGTGGGAAGGTTTGTAGTTTAGGCTAACAGGTTCCATCATAATGGCCTTTTCTCTATGACAAATTTGCTTCCATGTCTCAGATGCCTGCTAATACCACAAATGTGCTTATCTGGTTAAAACAGTAGCTTGGTATAAACCTTCACTATCAGTAATTATTAGGCCACATACATATACTGAAAGACTATGGGTGCAAGAAAGGGTACAGATACTATTTACTGCATAAGGATATGAGTGCAGGATGACAGCCAATTAGTTCTTTTAGTGGCCACATGGTATAGTTGCCTAGTGTCACTCTATACCACCTGGAAGTGCATGGTGAACTCAGCCCAGAGGTGGTGATACAGCTCAAAAAAGTCAATCTTATTGAATTGATAATATTGACAGAATGTAAGATCTTCTCTCCCTGGCAACTGATTTTGTGCCTAGCTATCTATAACTCAACTTACTAGCAACCTTTATGTGACACAACCCACACAAAATGATAGCTTGAATCCTATATGCACACATGTCCACTCTTTTCATCTCTTTTTAAACATTAATATTTGGGCACCCCCACAGTTAATTTCCAGATAAATGTTACCAAATTCCAAGTCAGTGAAAATAGTATTGACCAAGACAAACACAAGTCAGTGATCTTAGCCAAACCACAAAAAAAAACCCACCCAGCTTGACAATCACCCTTTTTAATCAACATATTTCAGATAATACAGTTTTTCACTATACTTTTGAATTTACCTAATTGTGGAGTAATTACGAGCAGTTAGGAGCCACCAAGAGCTAAAAGTTTTCTTATTCTGTAATTACTCTACAGGTTTTATCCAACTCTATCTTGATGGTTAATTTCATCATATTTAGCTTGATGTTCAAAGAGAATCCTTTTTTATTTTTATTTTTTAGCCTGTATCCTGTGGTATTTCCAGCATTTTTATGAAATGAATAACTTAGACTTCTTGCAGAAAAAATAAATAATGTAAATTGATCTAAGAGTCTGACTAGGGGCAAGGGCTTTCTAATGAAGAGGGGCTACCTCCTCACCTCAAAAGAGCTGCTCTACGTGGTGTGGGTGGGGGAATCTTACTGTAAAATAAAATGGAATCCAGGAATCTGAGTACAGTTTTAGAACACAAGTTGATTTTTGTCAGGAAGGATGACTTTGCCATGATATTGTGTAATGGCATCAATGAATAAGGCCCTAGTAACCTGTGTCTGTAATAAAGAGGTAAAAGTCTATGAAAGTAACTTTAGTAACAACAACAAAAAATTCTGAAGGCGTTATACTAAATGGAAACAACTAGCTACCTATCCACCTTTCTGCTAGCCTAAGTAGGATCAAAATAGTGCTGGCAATGGAACTACCTTCTATTTTAGTAAGAGAACTGACCATGCTAATAGAGTAAGGAGGACAAAAGGCTTCAGGGGACTTGTAATGGCTAAGAAGGAGAACCATTGGGTATCCTGGGGCATAGGATTGGCAAGTAAAATGCAGGGCACTCAGTTAAATTTGGATTTCCAAAAACAACAAGTAACTATTACTATATGTACAATCTTGGCAATTCATTGTTTATCTGAAATTTGAATTTAACTGGACACCCTGTATTTTTCATTTGCTAAATCTGAAAACCTACTCAGAAAGATTCCAGAGAAAGGGAGGCCTCAGGTAGCTTGGAGTCCTTGTTATTCTTCCAAATAAAACATTATTTTAATTAGTTGGTATGGTTTCATCCTCATATCTTAACTATCATCACACAATTTCATCTATCCTGGAAAAGCCAAGGTTTTTTTTTCCCTCACACTGATAAAATATTCTTAAATCATTCTGAAATCCCCTTTTATTTTGCAGCAATATCTGTTTTTTTGTTTGTTTTGTTGTTGTTTTTTTTTTTTTTTTTTTTTGAAACGGAGTCTTGCTCCATCACCCAGGCTGGATTGCCATGGTGCGAACTCAGCTCACTGCAACCTCTGTCTCCTAGGTTCAAGCGATTCTCCTGTCTCAGCCTCCCAAGTAGCTGGGACTACAGGCATACGCCACCATGCCTGGCTAATTTTTGTATTTTCAGTAGAGACGGGGTTTCACCGTGTTGGTCAGGTTGCTCTAATTCCTCATCTCAAATGATCTGCCTGCCTTAGACTCCCAAAGTGCTGGGATTACAGGCATGAGCCACCGCACCTGGCCTATCAATATCTTAATATAAGAACATCTGCTAGAACTTACATTCACTGAGTTCTCACTGATATCAAATTCAAGCTCCCTTTAAAAAGTGTGATGTATAAAGGAAGAAAATGCTATCTAGTAAATGACCAAGTATATAAAGACAGGAAGAAGGAAAAAAAATCTGGTAATTATAAAAAAAAGTTAAAAATAAGTGTTTATATCTGACCATTATAGTGTTTAGCTTCTCTTGCAAGTAAATTAAAATTGAGTAAACTCACTACATTTGCATATTTAGCTCAATCTAAGAATTCTCATGGCTTCTTTCTAATTCTTATATAGACACATTGCCTTGTGTATTTCTCAAGCTTTAAGATGAATGTACCCATTTATCTTGTCACTCTATTTCAACTGAAAAGTTTTTTAACTGATGTCAGTAAGAAAACTACTGCTATTTGTAAAAA